>NC_000014.9:77490500-77642016 GCF_000001405.40 Homo sapiens
GGATCAGAGAGGTAACGTAACTTGCCTGGAGTCACACAGCTAGGGGCTGGCAGAGTGGGATTTGATGTCAGTGGTATGGCTGGAGTTTGTGCTCTTAAGCCTTGTGCTTTGCTAACTCCAGGCAGTGGCTGCACCTTCTGGTTTGCCGCCTGCTGCTCTGCGGTGCTGAATGTGCTGGATGAACAAAACACTATACAGGATGTTCAACTCTCCACGTCCATCCTTCCCTTTGATCCTCGTAACAACCTGAGACTGAGATCGGAGAGGCTGGAGACTTGCCTGAGGCCTCTGGGCAGCCAAGCTTCCAGGCCTCATTCCTGTCCTTCTCTCTCTCCCTCCCTGGGGGCTTTTCCAACCCTTTAGAGACTGAATGGTCTGGAGGGATAAGGAAGGCCATAGCTGAGGTCCAGGAAGGTGGCCAGCTGCAGGAGAAGGCTAGCAGGTGAGGCCACAGGCTTGGCACCACACAGACCTAGGTTCTAGTTCTCCCCTGGCACTCACTCACTGATTGGGCTAGAAAGACCCCACAACCAGATAAAATCAGCCTTTAGGAAATACATCCTTCTCATTGCCACCCACCTGGCAGGTGAGACCTTGCAAATCTCCGGCAATCCAGCCCCTGCTTCCAGGCAACTGGCTGGACAATGGACCGGGACTGAAGTGCTGGGGGGGCACCCCCACCATGTTCATGACACTGCCTCAGGTTTCTCAGGGACCCCAGGCTCCTTCCTCTGCCCTTTGTTCTGTCTCAGCCTATACCCTCAACAAGCGCTTCTTTCATGGCCATTTAACCCCTGCTGCGGCAGCACAAACCACCCCCATCCCGCTCCAGGTGGGACAGTCTTTGCAGACTGGAAGAACAGTCCTCTCTCAGGTCTCCTCTGTTTATTTATTTATTTTTAAATAGAGATAGGGTCTCACTCTGCAGCTTAGGCTGGAGTGCAGTGGCATGACCTCGGCTCACCGCAACCTCTGCCTCCCGGGCTCAAGTGATTCTCCTGCCTTAGCCTCCCAAGTAGCTGGGATTACAGGTGGCTGCCACCATGCCCGGCTAATTTTTTTGGTATTTTTAGTAGAGACAGGGTTTCACCATGTTGGCTAGACTGGTCTCCAACTCCTAACCTCAGGTGATCCACCCGCCCTGGCTTCCCAAAGTGCTGGAATTACAGGCATGGGCCACCGCGTCTGGTCTTTTTTTTTTTTTTTTTTTTTTTGAGATGGAATCTCACTCTGTCACCCAGGCTGGGGTGCAGAGGCACAATCTCGGCTCACTGCAACCTCACCTCCTGGGTTCAAGCGATTCTCATGCCTCAGCCTCCCGAGTAGCTGGGATTACAGGCCCCTGCCACTAAGCCCTGCTAATTTTTGTATTTTTAGTAGAGACGGGGTTTCACCATGTTGGCCAGGCTGGTCTTGAACTCCTGACCTCAGGGGATCCGCCTGCCTCAGCCTCCCAAAGTGCTAGGATTACAGGCGTGAGCCACCGCCCAGCCCCCCACCTTTTTTTTTTTTTAAATAAAGACAGAGTCTCACTCTGTAGTCCAGGCTGGAGTGCACTGGTGCAATCACAGCTCACAGGAGCTGTGAACTCCTGGCCTCAATCCTCCCACCTTGGCCTTCCAAAGTGCTGGAATTACAGGCATGAGCCACCACACCCAGCCTCTCTTGCCTAATTCTAACCCCCTCAACCCCTTTGTGGCACCAAGTCCCCAGCTCTTCTTTCTCCCATGCCAAGGTCTTCCCTTGCCTGCCAGGGAGGTGGTGGGTGCCAGGTTTAGGTGCCCAGGGGCTCTGGAATTAAGCAAAACTGAGTGGGGATCCTGGCTCACCACATACTAACCTTGGGTTAGTTACTGGGCCCGCTGTCAGTTTTCTCATCCCTAAAATGATAATAAGACAAGGAACACACATGGCGGCTGTTTGAGTGGTGTTCTCATCCTAACTAGAACAGAAAATACCCAAGACAGAGCTGGGTCACTCTTTGCCTGTCCAGCACTCAACAAACTGGCCCCAGCCTTTTTTTTTTTTTTTTTTTTCAAGACAGGGTCTTGCTCTGTTGCCCAGGATGGAGTACAGTAGTGTGTTCACAGCTCAGAGCAGCCTCGAACTCCTCGTGATCCTCCCACCCACCCTCCAAGTAGCTAGCACTATAGGCATGCACTACCCATGCCTGGCTTGGCCCAGCCTCTTTTATTTAATTAATTTATTTATTTGAAGACAGGATCGGCCAGACATGGTGGCTCGCGCCTGTAATCCCAGAACTTTGGGAGGCTGAAGCAGACAGATCTTCTGAGGTCGGGAGTTCGAGACCAGCCTGACCAACATAGCTACTAAAAATACAAAATTAGCCGGGCATGGTGGAACATGCCTGTAGTCCCAGCTACTCAGGAAGGCTGAGGCAGGAGAATCGCTTGAGCCTGGGAGGCAGAGGTTGCAGTGAGCCAAGATTGTGCCATTGCTCTCCAGCCTGGGCAACAAGAGCGAAACTTCATCTCAAAAAAAGAAAAAAAAAAGACAGGGTCTCATTCTGTCACCCAGGCTGGAGTGCAGTGGTGCAATCAATCACAGCTCACTGTAGCCTCAAACTCCTAGGCTTAAGCAATTCTCCCACTTCAGCCCCCAGTAGCTGGGATTACAGGTGCATGCCATCAAGCTTGGCTAATTTTTGTATTTTTAGTAGAGACAGGGTTTCTCCATGTTGCCCAGGCTGATCTTGAACTCCTGAGCTCAAGTGATCCACCTGCCTTGGCTTCCCAAAGTGCTGGGATTACAGGTATGAGCCACCATGCCTGGCCCACAACCTGTTTTTATGACGATGTCACCATCCATGTGTCTGGTGCTTTTTCACCCAGCACTGCATCTGACAGAATGGGTTCTTATTTTACTGTGGGAGTAAACTGAGGCTCAGCAACAGGCCTGCCCAGAGAAGCAGGGGCCATATTTTGTTCACAAGGCTAATTATTTATTATTATTTTTTTTGAGAGGGAGTCTTGCTCTGTCACCCAGGCTGGAGTGCAGTGGCACGATCTCAGCACACTGCAACCTCTGCCTCCTTAGTTCAAGCAATTCTCCTGCCTCAGCCTCCCAAGTAGCTGGGATTATAGGCGCCCACCACCACGCCTGGCTAATTTTTGTATTTTTAGTGGAGATGGGGTGTCTCCATGTTGGCCAGGCTGGTCTCAAACTCCTGACCTCAAGTGATCCACCTGCCTCGGCCTCCCAAAGTGCCGGGATTATAGGCGTGAGCCACTGCGGCCAGCCGAATGATTCTTTTCTTTTCTTTTTTTCTGAGATGGAGTCTCGCTCTGTCGCTCAGGCTGGAATGCAGTGGCGCGATCTTGGCTCACTGCAAGCTCGGTCTCCCGGGTTCACGCCGTTCTCCTGCCTCAGCCTCCCGAGTAGCTGGGAGTACAGGTGCTTGCTACCATGCCCAGCTAATTTTTTTTTTTTGTATTTTTAGTAGAGATGGGGTTTCACCGTGTTAGCCAGGATGGTCTTGATCTCCTGATCTTGTGATCCGCCCGCCTCGGCCTCCCAAAGTGCTGGGATTACAGGCGTGAGCCACCGTTCCCGGCCCTGTGATTCTTTTCAAGACTTCAGATGAGCAGACTAGAACATGACATGCAAAGATGTACCATAAGGTCCCAGACCTGGCTCCTGGCTAGGCTTAACTTTTCTGTGCCTCCATTTTTCATCTGGAAAATGGAGATCATGCCCATGTCAAAGTGGTGTAACAATGAAATATTCTCATGTTAAGTAATTCATATGGACTCTGTAAGGCCCAGAAAATGCTCACTTCCCTTTCAGCAACCTTTACTTTTAGATTCAGGGGTTTGATGTTCTTTAGCTTCTTCATTAAGGTCTTTGGGCTGGTCAGTTATTTCTTTTTTATTTTTCAATTTTTTTTAATTTTTGAGATGGAGACTCACTCTGTCTCCCAGGCTGGAGTGCAGTGGCACAATCTCGGCTCACTATGACCTCTGCCTCCTAGGTTCAAGCAATTCTTCTGCCTCAGCCTCCCAATAAGCTGGGACCACAGGTGCCCACAACCATGCCCGGCTAATTTTTGTATTTTTAGTAGAGATGGGGTTTCACCAGGTTGGCCAGGCTGGTCTTGAACTCCTGACCTCAAGTGATCCACCCTCCTCAGCCTCCCAAAGTGCTGAGATTACAGGTGTGAGCCACTGCACCCAGCCTGGTCAGTTATTTGTGACACGCCACCCAAGTCCCTAGAATAGCAATCTGCATTCTCTCAACATGACTCCTTAAACTAACACCTTTGCCATAGACAGCTTTAACACAAATCATGAAGACTCATGGAACGATGTCAGAGCTGGACAGAACCATAAAGATGACTTAGGCTCTCTCAGCTCTCTTTTTTCATTTTATTTATTTATTTTTGAGACAGGGTCTCGCTTTGTCACCCAGGTTGGAGTGCAGTGGCGCGATCTCAGCTCACTGCAACTCTTGCCTCCTGGGCTCAGGAGATCCTCCCACCTCAGCCTCCAGAGTAGCTGAGACTACGGGGGGCGCACCATCACGCTCAGCTAATTTTTGTATTTTTTGGGGGGTAGAGATGGGTTTTCGCCATGTTGCTCAGGCTGGTCTTGAACTCCTGGGCTCAAGCAATTCTCCCACCTTGGCCTCCCAAAGTGCTGGGATTACAGGTGTGAGCCACCACGCAGGCCCCTCTTTTTAAATGTGAGGAAATCATCCGAGGTGAGTCACACATGCATTAATGACCCACTGGGACCAGAACTCCAAGGCCTAGACTCTAAGCTCTGCTTTTTCATTGTGGCACTAATTTGTTTTCACATGTTTTTGATGACTCTGCCAGGCTTTGTACGGGAGCTGAGGATATGATTTTGGCTCTGAAATAACTCATCCTCTAGGGTGTTCTTGTTAGGGGAAGATTTGGCAAACATGCTAAAAATAATTACAATACAAAGCAGTAAGTACTAAAATAGAAAGTATTCATGCCAAGTGAGCAGAAACAATGCCAATTTAGTTAATTTTATTATCACTGTCATCTCCATGTAGGAGGAGGGACTGGCGAGAGGCCTCATCTGTCTACAACAGTCATTCTCCACTACGGGCAGTGGGGATAGGGTGTCCCACAGGAAGCATGTGGAGTGTCTGGGCCTCGTGAGGCGGCAAGTGCTACAGGCGCCTAGTGGGTAGAGGCCAGGAATGCTGCTAAACGTTCTATGAAGCATAAGACAACAGCCCCTACCACAAAGAATTATATGCCCCAAAATGACGAGGGTGCCGAGGCTGAGAAGAGCCAGTCTAAAGGATGCATTCTCAATAGGGGCAATAACTAGATCTTGTGAGGGACCAAAAAGTCTTAAGATATTACAATGGTTTGTGACATTCCAAAGGGCTATAATACATAGACAGTGTATCTATGGTATTAAAATGTCATGGGGAGGTCGGGCGTGGTGGCTGACACCTGTAAGCCCAGTACTTTGGGAGGCCAAGGCAGATGGATCACTTGAGGTCAGGAGTTTGAGACCAGCCTGGTCAACATGACGAAACCCCATCTCTACTAAAAAAATACAAAAATTAGCTGGGCGTGGTGGCAGGCATCTGTAATCCCAGCTACTCTTGAGGCTGAGGCAGGAGAATCGCTTGAACTTGGAAGGTGGAGGATGCAGTGAGCCGAGATTGAGCAAGACTCCATGCCAAAAAAAAAAAAAAAAATTCAGCCGGGCATGGTGGCTCACGCCTGTAATCCCAGCACTTTGGGAGGCTGAGGTGGGCAGGTCACCTGAGGTCGGGAGTTCAAGACCAGCCTGACCAACATGCAGAAACCCCATCTCTACTAAAAATACAAAATTAGCTGGGTGTGGTGGCGCATGCCTGTAATCCTAGCTACTCGGGAGGCAGAGGCAGGAGAATCGCTTGAACCCAGGAGGCGGAGGTTGTGGTGAGCCAAGATCACGCCATTGCACTCCAGTCTGGGCAACAAGAGCAAAACTCCGTCTCCGGGAAAAAAAATAGCCGGGCGTGGCGGCTCACACCTGTAATCCCAGCACTTAGGGAGGCCTAGGCAGGTGGATCATAAGGTCAGGAGTTCGAGACCAGCCAGTTCGAGACCAGCCTGGCCAACATGGTGAAACCCTGTCTTGACTAAAAATACAAAAATTAGCCGGGCGTGGTGGCGTGAGCCTGTGATCCCAGCTACTGGGGAGGCTAAGGCAGGAGAATTGCTTGAACCCGAGAGGCGGAGGTTGCAGTGAGCCAAGATTGTGCCACCGCATTCCAGCCTGGGTGACAGAGTGAGACTCCATCTCAGGAAAAAAAAAAAAAAAAAAAAAAAAAAAAAAAAAAAAATTCATGGGGAGTGGGGACAGGAAAAAAACCTAAAAGACTCCTTAAGGGGGCAGAAAAAAAGGTAGCAAAACTGGTCTACAGACACATCCTCAAGTGCAGCCAGTCTCCCCATTCCTTCCCACGGCCTTTGGAGGGTTTCAGCAGTCTGGACAAGTTCTGGCTCTCACTCTCTCACTCACTCACTCACAATCTCCCACACCCTGCATGCCTATATGGACCCTCAGTGTCGTCATCTCAAAAATGGGAAGAATGGCTGGGTGCAGTGGCTCACACCTGTAATCCCAGCACTTTGGGAGGCCGAGGCAGGTGGATCATGAGGTCAGGAGCTCAAGACCGGCCTGGCCAAGATGGTGAAACCCTGTCTCTACTAAAAATACAAAAATTAGCCAGGCGCGGTGGCAGGCGCCTGTTATCCCAGCTACTTGGGAGGCTGAGGCAGGAGAATAGCTTGAACTCGGGTGGCAGAAGTTGCAGTGAGCCAAGATCGTGCCACTGCACTCCAGCCTGGGCAACACAATGAGGCTCTGTCTCAAAAAAAAAAAAAAAAAAAAAGGAAGAAGAAGAATGGCTGGGCACCATGGCTCATGCCTGTAATACTGGCACTATGGGAGGCTGAGGCAGGAGGATTGCTTGAGGTCAGAAGTTCAAGACCAGCCTGGGACACACAGTGAGACCCCCCCATCTCTACAAAATAAAAAATAAAAAAAATTAGCCAGGTGTGGTGGTGCATGCCTGCGCTCCCAGGTACCCAGGAGGCTGAGGCTGGAGGATCGATTGAGTCCGGGAGGTTGAGGCTACAGTGAGCTATCATCACACCACCGCACTCCAGCCTGGGTGACAGAGAGAGATCCTGTCCCAAAAATAAAATAAAAGAGAGGGAGAAAGAAAAAGTAGGAAGGAAGGAGGGAGGGAGGGAGGGAGGGAGGGAGGGAGGGAAGGAAGGAAGGAAGGAAGGAAGGAAGGAAGGAAGGAAGGAAGGAAGGAAGGAAGGAAGGAAAAACGGCAAGATGGGAAGAGCTATTCGGGCCTCCTACAGCTTAGTACATGGAAGGACCCAGGACCCAAGACCTAAGACCACCTGCCACATAGGACTGCTCCTGCATACCCTAATACAAGTCTGGCTGTCTTTGTCCCCATGGGAATGAACGTCCGCTGCATTCCAGGGGGCAATAAGCTGGACTGTAGACCCCTCAGTGACTGGAAGACACAGGGTTTGACAGACCATGGCTTCTCTCCATGGCCAACACCACTCTTCCATCTCATTCCTGTTTTATACCCCAATGCCCACCCACAGGCCACGAGGACAGAGCCAGTCTCAGGCTGGCCACCCCTGCCGGCGGCTGGAGAGCCCCACTGTGCCTCCGCTTGTCTCATGGAAGGGGCTCACCTGACCGTTTGAACCTCAGCGGCCCTGGCCCGCCACTCCGCAAAGCGCCAGATTCCTCGCACCGGCGGGACTCCTCTCCGAGCTAGCGCGCACCTGGAAAGGGGGCTGCAGGCGAGGTCCGCTCAGGGCGAGGAAGCCCGGCCACCGTGGAGTGTCGGCCACCTCACTCCGCACAGAAGTCAAACTTGTCACCCGGCTGGTCCGCGGCAGCCCGGCTCGCGGTCACGCGCGAGGAGTGGAAGCCCCGAAGTCCGGCGCACCTGGGCAACGCCCGGTGTCCGGGAGCTTCCGGCCGGCCCCGGCCCCTCTCTCCATCGGGGGGTCGCTGCCTGTGTGTGTCCCGGTCCCGCTCCCCGCACGGCTGGAGCCGGCGGGCTGGGGAGGTGGGACCGACAGCGCGCTCCGCAGCCCGGTGCCGCCGCCACTCACCTCTGCGAGCCTCGTGAGGCTCCCAGGCCGTGGTCCGCGGAGCCGCGGCTTCTTCACGGGGAGCCCTAGCGCCGCCTCCAGCAGCGCCGCCAGCAGCAGCACGCAGAGGAGGAGCCCGGCTCGGTCGCGGAGCGCACGCATCGTCTCGGTTCCGAGGCTGCTCTGCCTGCACCTCTGCACGCGGCCGCGAACCCAGTCGCGCCCCGCCTCGCCTCCTCCGGGGGCGGGACCCGGCGATCCTGAGGGGCGCGCGGGGCACGGGGCCGCGCGGGGCGGGGGCGCGCAGCTCGCACAGCCTCTCTGGCCCCGGCTCCTCGCGTGGGCGCCCGCACAGCTCTAGGGTCCGCGCACCTGGACGTCCCCCACCCTCCTCCGAGGGGCCCCTCGGCGCTCCCCGACCCGTCTTGACCCTGTGGGCGGCTCTCTTTGATCTGGCCGCCTCCCCGCCCTCAGTCCCCGCCGCTGTCGCCGTCGCAGCCCCCAGCGAATTCCTGTTCGCGGGAAGCTGCGGCCCGGCGCGCTCCGGCCCTGCGCTGCGACTCCTGCGGGGCCCTGAGGGTCCGACGCCACCTCTGCCCTCCCCGACCGCGCTCCAACTGCGACCTGGACCGGCGGTGCCGCGCGGGCGAGGGAGGCGCAGCCCGACGGGAGAGTGGCGCGAGTCTTCGGATGCCGGGCAGATGTTTGGTTATGCCTCGAGGAAGGTTTGCTGGGGAGGAAGCCTAGAAGTAACTCCCCCAGGGCTCTTCCCAGTCTACTGCCGGAGGTGGAGACCAGAGCAGAGGCACAAGCCAGCACCTGCCATTCTGCACCCAGTGTCCTCGGAATGTTCTCAGAGCACTTTTAAAAACCGGAGAGTCGGCCGGTGGCTCACGCCTGTAATCCCAGCAGTTTGGGAGGCCGAGGCAGGAAGATCACTTGAGGTCAGGAGTTGAGACCAGCCTGGCCAACAAGGTGAAACCCCGTCTCTACTAAAAATACAAAAATTAGCCGGGCGTGGCAGCGCGCACCCGTAGTCCCAGCGGGTGGGAGCCCCGAGGTCCGGCGCACCTGGCCCACACACAGGTGGGAGAATCGCTTGCACCTGGGAGGCAGAGGCTGCAGTGAGCCGAGATTGCACTATTGCACTCCAACCTAGGCGACAGAGTGCGACCCTGTCTCAGAAAACAAAACAGGAGAAAGTTGAGACTCAGATGTGAGGATAAAGTCCCAGAAGGACAGCCGGGAGTCTGGTCGTCGCCTAGTTGTATCCTGGGTGAAACAGTGAAACTGCCCACTTCATCCAGTGGGACCCTTGGTGCAGGGATCCTCACGTAGGCCACGAGGGTCACCAAGATGGCCTGCCTCTGAGCAACCGACACAAAACCTTAGCTTGTGGCAAAGATCAGGAACTCTTGAGAGGCAGTGCCAATCTGGATGGGGCAGCTTGGGAATGTGAACGCAGTGACACCAGGTAGGGGGAGGGGTTGGGACAGGTCGGTGAGGAGCAGTCACAAGGCACTGGGGACATGCCCACCCAGGGGTCATAGCAGGGCGCACAAAGGATGACTCAAGTTTCAGGGCAGGGTTGGTGGATCCCCAGGGGTGGTAGAGAGGATGAAGAGCAAGCCCAGCTACTGGTGTAAACTGCTGGGTCTGGGTCAAGTTAGAGTAAGACTGTGGGGGGACTGTGTGCTTTTCTGGAACTACTCCTATTCCCAGGGGCACAGCTGCAGGGTTTTGAATGGTGCATCACAGGGATGACAACCTGGGTCTGGATTCGGCCATGGGGACTGGAATCTTTCACCATTTACCAAGTAGGTGATATTATTGGACAAATTATTTGACGTCTTCGTGCTCTTGTCATCTGTAAAAGTGTGGGGGCCCGGGAGCAGGAGAGGTTACCCCTCTCACCTGGGCACCAAGTGTGAGAAGTGTGAGTAAATGAGAAGTAAATGTGAAGTAAATGTGAGTAAATGAGAAGTAAATGTGAGTAAATGAGAAGCCAGGTTTCCATGTTGAGAATTTGTATTAGAATGAACTATATGAAGTTGCCATGTTTTGTTCAAAAGGTCGAATATTGGCAATTTCATATGGTGCAACCTAATAGGGTGCCTGGTACATGGTAAACACTCAAATGTTAGCCTAAAGAAACCCTGTTTATGAGCACCTGCTAGACCATATTGCATTTACTAGACTAAAGGCAAGGCCACCTTGTTCTTTTTCAGGAATTTTTTTTTTTTTTGGTATAAATATTTTTACATCCTGCCTATTATTTTGTCTTTTTACCACACTCCTGCACCTTCCACCAGATGAAAGGAGACTTGGAAGACAATGAGTTCATTCATTCATGAGCACCTGTCTCCATGAAGAGCATCACCACTGGACTCCAAGCCACGCCCCCAACTATAAATAGCCTAATTGGTCCTGCTGCACCCACTCTTGTTTTTACCCTCCCCCACTCCCCATGAAGCTGATTATCTTTTCTTTTTTTCTTTAAGATGGAGTCTCGCTCTGTCGCCCCGGGCTGGAGTGCAGTGGCGTGATCTCGGCTCACTGCAACCTCCGCCTCCCAGGTTCAAGTGATTCTCCTGCCTTCAGCCTCCCTAGTAGCTGGAATTACAGGCACCCACCATCATGCTCAGCTAGTTTATTTGTATTTTTATTTATTTATTTTTGAGATGGAGTTTTGCTCTTGTCACCTAGGCTGGAGTGCAATGGTGCAATCTCGGCTCACTGCAACCTCCACCTCCCGGGGTTCAAGCGATTCTCCTGCCTCAGCCTCCCGAGCTAGCTGGGATTACAGGCGTGCCCCACCATGCTTGCCTAATTTTGTATTTTTAGTAGAGACAGGGTTTCACCATGTTGGCCAGGCTGGTCTTGAACTCCTGACCTCAGGTGATCTGCCCACCTCGGCCTCCCAAAGTGCTGGGATTACAGGCGTGAGCCACCGCAACGAAACTTTTTTTTTTTTTTTTTTTTTCGGTAGAAATGGCTTCACCATGTTGGCCAGGCTGGTCTCCAACTCCTGACCTCAGGTGATCCACCCACCTCGGCCTCCCAAAGCCTGGGATTACAGGTGTGAGCCACTGCACCTAGCCTTTTTTTTTTTTTGAGACAGAGTCTCACTGTTGTCGCCCAAGCTGGAGTGCAATGGCATAATCTTGGCTCACTGCAACCTCCACATCTGAGGTTCAAGCGATTCTCCTGCCTCAGCCTCCCAAGTAACTGGGATTACAGGCAACAGGCACCCATCACCACTGCCGGCTAATTTTGGTATTTTTAGTAGAGACAGGGTTTCACCATGTTGGCCAGGCTGGTCTTGAACTCTGGACCTCAGGTGATCCGCCCGCCTTAGCTCCCAAAGTGCTGAGATTACAGGCGTGAGCCACTGCGCCTGGCCGGCCTATTTTTCCTTTTTAAAATAAGCTTCATTGAGATATAATTTACATATAATAAAACACACCCATTTTAATTGAACCATTTAGTTTTCGCAAATGTATACATCTGTGTAACCACCACCACAATCATGATGTAGAACCTTCCCACCATTCCAATTTCCTTCTGTGCGCTGTAGAAAAAAACTGTGCACCAGTGGAAAACTGCATTGTGTACATAGCGTACATGCTTCCAGGCTATTTGATTCTAGTCTTTCATTGCCTTTGAACTACTGCTCTGTAGGTTGTAGGTTAACTGGTAGCAAAAACAAAATTCTTGTCCATAGAAACGTGCAATCTGTCCTGTCCTGTAGAAGTTTGATTGACTTCCTTCTCCCAGTGTGGAAGAAACAAGTTTGCCTTCATTTGGACATTAATTTCGATATTCCTGATTTATAAATGTTGGTTTTTCAATATCTCCTTTGAATTGGTTTTAATGCCCTTACCAGTTTCCTCATTAATAAGTAAAGTCTTTAACACGTGTTCATTGTTTTTTTTTTCCTCGAGATGGAATCTGCTCTGTTGCCCAGGCTGGAGTGCAATGGCGCAAGCTCCGCTCACTGCAACCTCTGGCTCCTGAGTTCAAGTGATTCTCCCGCCTCAGCCTCCTGAGGAGCTGGGGTTACAGGAGTGAGCCACCATGCCTGGCCTAACACGTGTTCACTTTTATATCCATAAGAGACATGACTTCATGCTTATTTTTTTTATTTTTATTTTTTTGAGACTGAGTCTTGCTCTGTCACCCATACTGGAGTGCAGTGGCTTAATCTTGGCTAACTACAACCTCCATCTCCAGGGTTCAAGCGATTCACCTGTCTCAGCCTCCCAAGTAGCTGGGACTACAGGCGCACATCACTATGCCTAGCTAATTTTTGTATTTTTAGTAGATTTAGTTTCACCATATTCGTCAGGCTGGTCTTGAACTCCTGAACTCAGGTGATTCACCTGCCTCGGCCTCCCAAAGCATTGAGATTACAGGTGTGAGCCACCATGCCCCGCCGATTCATGCTTTTTGGAAAATTACATTTTAATAGTCCCTTTGTATAGTTAATCCCTACCTCCTTCTACCCTTGGCTCCTGGCAACCATTGATCCTGCTGTTACCATAGAATAGTTTTGCCCTTTGTAGAATTTCGTATCAATGGAATATTTATGTATTCTTTTCTTTGGCTTCTTTCTCTCATCATGTTTCTTTCCCCCATACACCACGTGCACTAGCATCAGCATGTGGCCGAGATTTGTCCATCTTGTAGGTATCAGTAATTTGTTCCTTTTCATTGCTGAGTAATATTCCATTTTATGCACATACTACAATGTGTTTATCCATTCACCATTATGGTTTTTTGTTTCTGGTTATGCATAGTGACTGTATTCAAGTGTAAGTCCTCATGCAGACATGCTTTCATTTCTCTTAAGTATCTATAAGTGGGCCGGATGTGGTGGCTCACGCCTGTACTCCCAGCACTTTGGGAGGCTGAGGTGGGCAGATCCCTTGAGCGCGGTAGTTCAAGAGCAGCTTGGCCAACATGGCGAAACCCTGTCTCTACCAAAAATACAAAAATTAGCCAGTCTCATAACTCAGTCTCAAAATAAATAGATGAATATTTTAAAATAAAAAATTTAAATTTATCTATGAGTGGAATTGCTGTCTCAAACCTGCCAAATTATTTTCTCACGTGGATGTACCATTTGTATTCCCACCAGCAACTGATGAGAGCTCCAGTTGCTCCACATCTTTGCCAACACTTGATATTGTAATTCTTTTTAATTTCAGCCATTCTGGTGGGAGTGGTGGTAGAATTTTTGTTTTTTGGTTTTTTTTTTTTTTGAGACGGCGTCTCCCTCTGTCGCCCATGCTGGAGTGCAGTGGTGCAATCTCAGCTTACTGTAAACTCCGCCTCCCGAGTTCGCACCATTCTCCTGCCTCAGCCTTCTGAGTAGTGGGGACTACAGGCACCCGCCACCATGCCCAGCTAATTTTTTGTATTTTTTTTAGTAGAGACGGGGTTTCACTGTGTTAGCCAGGATAGTCTTGATCTCCTGACCTCATGATCCGCCACCCTCAGCCTCCCAAAGTGCTGGGATTACAGGCATGAGCCACCACGCCAGGCTTTTTTTTTTTTTTTTGAGACAGTGCCTTGCTCTGTCTCCCAGGTTGGAGTGCAGTGGTGTGATCATAGCTCACTGTAGCCTTCAACTCTTGGGTTCAAAGGATCCTCCCACCTCAGACTTCTGAGTAGCTAGGACTCCAGGCATGCACCGCCATGCTTGGCTAATTTTTCAGTTTTTTAGTAGAGATGGGGTCTTGCTATGTTGCCCAGGCTGGGGTGGTAGAATCTTATTGTAGTTTTTATTTGCACTTCCCTGATGACTAATTATGTTAAGCATTTTTTCATAAGCTTATGGGACATTAGTTTACCTCTTTTGTGAAATGTCTTTTCCATCTTTTATCTATTTTTTTATGAATAGATTACTAAATTTTAAGGGTTCTTTATAGTCTGTATAGAAAGCCTTTATCAAATACATGTATTCTGAATCTTTTACTCCAGCCTGGGGTTTGCTTTTCATTTTCAGTCTTTTGAAATTTTCATTTTGATCAAGTCCAACTTATCAATAATGCTTTTTGTGTCCTCAGAAATCATTCCTAAAGTCACAGATTTTCTCTTCTGTTTTCTTCTAGACATTTTATAGTTTTAATTTTTGTGTTCAGGTGATTTATTTTGAATTATTGTATATCTATGAGTTAAGGGTTGAAGGTCATTTCTGCCCATATGGATATTTAGTTGTTCTGGGACCATTAGTTGAATTATCTGTACTTTCCCCACTGGAACTACCTTGGCAACTCTGTTGAAAATCAACCAACCTTCTATGTGTGGGTCTATTTCTGGACTCTAGTATGTTTTACTGATCTACATGACTATCTTAATGCCAACAGTAGTGTCTTGATTACTGTAGCTTTACAGAAAGTCTTGAAATCAGGTAGTGTAAGTTCTTTTCCAAAATCGTTTGGACTATTCTAGGTCCTTTAGATTTCCATATAAACTTTATCAAATTGTCCATGTCTACAAAAACACTGAGAGTTATCTGTTTCCATACTTTAAACTCCTCACTGGGCCGGGTGTGGCAGCTCATGCCTGTCATCCCAGTATGTCAGGAGGCTGAGACGGGAGGATTGCTTGAGGCCAGGAATTCGAGACTGGGCAACACAGTGAAACTCTGTCTCCACTTTAGGTAATAATTTAAAAAATTTTTTAAAAACCCAGCCCTTTCACTAGTCTGACCCCCACCCCCTGCATAAGAGAAAGACCTCACCAAGATCTACAAAGCCCAGTGAGTCTGCCTCTACCACCTCCCCACTACCTCACCTCCCCACACAGTTTTTAATCAAGCTCCAACTGTACTTTATTTCAGACCCTCCACGTCCTCAGTTTTCTCTCTCACCCCTGTCTAAACCAGATCATGGTTACTGTCTTTTTTTTTTTTTTTTGAGACAGTCTTGCTCTATTGCCCAGGCTGGAGTGCAGTGGTGTGATCTTAGCTCACTATAACCTCTGCCTCCAGGTTCAAGCGATTCTCGTGCCTCAGCCTCCCAAATAGCTGGAATTATAGGCACGTGCCACCATGCCTGGTTAATTTTTGTATTTTTAGTAGAGACGGGATTTCGCCATGTTGGCCAGGCTGGTTTCAAACTCCTGACCTCAAGTGATCCACCTGAAGTGCTAGGATTATAGGCGTGAGCCACCGCGCCCGGCCTGGTTACTTTTACCAAGCTCTTTACTTTTCCTCCATAGCACTTAACAGTTTGTAAAATGACATGTATGTTCATGTGCTTATCTGTTTACTAGCAAGTAGGAACCACAAAGCTCAGTGTGCTGCCCATCAGAGAGATAGCACTCAATATGTATTGGTTGAATGAATAAAGGCAGATATATCTTTCTGAATATTTTATTAGGGCAAAACAAGATATTTGCATGGGATGCTTCTTAAGTCATCTCAAGTAGTTCCCCTTCAGTTCTTAACATGCACTCTCAAAATCAACACACCTACCCCAACCCAATACTCATCGCTTCACAGTCATCCAGTAAAGTACAAAATAAAAATAAAAAAATCATCATCTGGCAAAAAAGGGAAACAGGGTAAGAGAGAGTGACATTTTAACACATTACTAAAATGTTTAAGCTTTTATTTACACATCCCCTTCTCTCAGTTTCCCAGGTTATATGAACATTACAGCAATAGAAAGGGGTTATCATCACAGCATCCCCTTGCAAATTCCAGTTTACAGGTAACTTGGTCAGGGGAAAAATATGGGTCAACGAAGTAAGATCTCAGCTCTCCCATAAGCTATTGCTCTCTTCTTCTCTTTCCCCCTTCTCTTAATGTTAGCTGCCTGTTACAGAGAGGGATCATCAAGACTGTGTGGACATGCTAGCTGAATTGACAGGGTGGGTTCCAGTGTCCTGTGAAGAACCAGCAAGGATGCTTTTTATAATTCCAACCATTGGCTTCACATCACTGAGGTAACAAGACTTAATGTTAAGGGTAAAGACACCACGCCACCCTAGTCAGTGACATGTACTCCACTTTCCAGGAAGACCTGGGCCAAATGACCAAGCTTTGCAAAAGAAACCTGGGAAGAGCGTTGGAAAAAGCAGACTCTGAGTTGGCTTGAGTCTCCTCGTGCATAGAAGCATTCACTCATCCATGCAGATGGCAACAAGGCAGGACACTCAGAAAGCATAAGATCAAGGTACTGCTCTTATCTGCACCTTTCATTCAAGCTCCCCTCAAGTGCTCCAAAAGAACAGAGCTTTGGGTATTGCTTCATTAAGAACACAGTAACTGCAGTTTAAAAGCCATTGCATTCTTTAGGGTCAGTTTATTATAACTTATCCTACCAGAAAGAATCACAGTTTAAGGCCATTTATCATGTGCACTATGTAGTAAACAAAACCTTGTCCCCAGCTCCACCAAGCCACTCCCAAGGGTGGACTGTGAATGTGACACTTCCAGACTCACCAGAGATTAGAAAAAACATTTCTATTAGGGTCTTAACCTAGCCCCTTTGGTTTCCTCCCTAGAAAAGAGCTGCTTAGAAAACAGATGTCACTGGAAATGACAAAAGGAACAACAGTATTTTCTATACATTAAAAGCAAAGGGATCATTGGCTAGCACTAGCATTTATTCTGTGTGATAGGGAAGCCAGCCCTCTAATTTGGCTCTCTGGCTGGGCACATGGCAATGGCTAGGGGCCTGGGCACACCTTTTTTTTTTTTTTTTGAGACAGAGTCTCCCTCTGTCGCCAAGGCTGGAGTGCAGTGGTGTGATCTTGGCTCATTGCATCCTCTGCCTCTTGGGTTCAAGCAATTCCTGTGCCTCAGCCTCCTGACGTAGCTGGGATTACAGGCATGTGCCACCATGCCCGGCTAATTTTTGTAATTTTAGTAGAGATGAGGTTTCGCCATGTTGGCCAGACTGTTCTCGAACTCCTGGCCTCAAGCAATCTGCCTGCTTCAGCCTCCCAAAGTGTTGGGATTACAGGTGAGCCACTGCGCCCAGCCATGGGCACATATTTCATGTGGATAAAGTTGAGGCGAGAAAAAGACATGTTTTTCTCCACATGGAAGGTATTTTTTAAACTGGTTTAATGTATTAAGATGGCTGCTGGGCACTGAGCATCCACGTGAAGCAAGTAGCAGGGTATCTGTAGGTTCTGGGACTGAAAAAAAAAATCCCTGTAAGTTCTTGGCTTAGTAGCCAAAAAATAATCTTTGCTTTTTATACCTCCCCATTCACAACCCCTTTGGGCTAAGCTGATTTAAAAAACATTTTTTTCTTAGATGGGGTCTTGCTGTGTTGCCCAGGCTACGCTCAAATTCTTGGGTTTAAGCAATCCTCCGGCCTCAGCCTCTCAAGTAGCTGGGATTGCAGGCTGCATCCGCACCCAGCTCCTAACAATTTTTTTTCCCCCTCTTATTGAGCCAGGGTCTCACTCTGTCACCCAGGCTGGAGTGCAGGGGTGCAATCATGGCTCACTGCAGCCTTGACCTCCCAGGCTCAAGTGATTCTCCCACACAGGTGGGACTACAGGCAGGCACCACCATGCCCGGTTAATTTAGAAAAAAATTTTTGTAGAGACAGGGTCTATCTTGCCCTGGCTGTCCTAACAATTCATAATCTTCATGAATGTGGACAGTTTGAAGGAAAACCACTACTCTCACCTCTTTTTCTAAGCACACGGTTATAGCAAGTAGAGATTAAAGCTCATTGGCTTACCTAGAACACCAAGAGAGGAAAGATACCTTGGGAATTAGGTCATAGCAATGCTTCAAACAACAACTGCCCATAACCCTACAAATCCTTGCAAAACAACAGTTACTCACATTCTTTCTTCACGGCCTACGGCATGACTGGCAGTTCTGCACTGTTGCCCAATCCCGGATCACTAGGAACCAGAAATCCTTATCAATTTGGAAAAAGGGGAAAAACATAAAAGTAGTGGTAAATGTCATCACTTTTTTCCTCCCTGAGAAATCAGGAAATCTCTCCATGGAAGCCACTCATCCCCCTGGTTTTCACCAATAAGAAGGAAGCAAAGTGTATAACACACTAGAAAATTCAGCTAGGCTGAACTAGTTGAGAAATTTAGATGCAGGCTCCCTTAGGTAATGAAGAAATTTGAAAAAAAATTTTTTTTAAAAGCCAAAGGAGCTAGCTTAAGCCCCTAATGAAAAGCCTCCTCCTGAAATGTAAGGCTAAGTGTACAAACAGAACCAAGGCGTCTGATATGCTATCTTCAAAGCCCAGCACCACCATATATTGGTTTTCTCTAGAGTTGGAATTTTAAAAATCAAGAACTTGAAGGTACAGAAAGAAAGAAAGGCCAAATAAAGGAAGAAGGCATTACGGAGACAAATCACTGGAAGCATGTTCAACTCCTTGGTGTTTGAAGAGGCATGACACAAACATAGAGCCCTTAGTGGTTGTGTAGGATGCTTCTGTTCACCTTGATGACTACAGAAGCAAGAATCCTGTTTTAAAATCCTTGCCCTATCATGAATGTTTACGATAGTGACTAAAGCACTACGATGGCTGGATTCTTCAAACAAATAAGCAGTACTTTGGGGGTTATGGAGACTAGAAGCTTTTTTTAAAGGTAAGGATTTCTTATCCAAAGCAAAGCAAAAAGTTGAAAAAGTGCTATAAAGTCCATGCCCCTGCTAAGTTAAAGCTTAAAAAAAAAAAGATGCGAGGAGAAACCGCCACTGCTGCTTGGTCCACTCCTCATATGGGCTTTTGACATCTCCTAGCTATGCATTTCCTGGCTTCTGATGTGATCTGCTGAAAGAGGTCTTATAAACCTGAAATAGGTAACAGCAATGCTGAATAAAAAGAGGAATGAGAAAAAGTGCTAAGGACTAGTCACACCTCTATCAATCGACTCAGATGATCAGTTTTGGTAGTCATGGTTAACCGGTATCTGTTTGAATCCTATCAGAGTCTTGAATCAGGCCGTGTTAAACTGTGTAAGAAACTACTCTTGTATGCCTCAAATCGACTTATTCTCAATGACTGTATTTATATATACTTGTATTCCTCCAAGTACTTGGATAAATGATGATACCTAGGATATGACTGGACCCTAGATTTACATTACAGTTTCAAGAAGAGACAACCAACCATGTATAATGTCTACATAACATTTTGTTCTTTAGAAAGTACAGAGGTCCTGCATAGATCACAGGAGATTTGTCTCTTCAAAATAAACTTGTAACAAAATTACACTTATCTTGAAATAACTTTGTACCAACAAAGTGATATAGATATATTTTAAATGCCGGTACTGACATTTGAATTTGCAGTGACTTCATGCAAGCCAAAATAAAAAGACTAGCAGGTAAGTTCATTGCTTATAAGTTTGTGACTTTTACAAACCCTACGTTTACATTAGTAAATAGTAACTGCAGTGCAAAAGCTATGTGGTATTCCAGTGGGATTCTATGGTAGGAAACTAGATGTGCAGAAAAGGTTGACAATGTATTTGATTTTATAGGACTCCTATTTAGTTACCACAACCTCCTTCTTACTTTAACCTATACATGCTAAATATAGTCTCTGCATCTCTCCTTGGTTCTTTCATTCATCTTTTTCTGTTCTTTAAAAAAGTAAAATAAAACTTTGGAATATCTCAAGGGCTTATTAAAGTTCTCAGATGCTGACAGTGACTAAACATAACTCATACTCAAGACATTAAAAACAAAACTTCACAAACAATAATATTGCTTACATCCTCTGCTATACGTAATGTGCACAAACATATCACAGCTGATGACAACACACCCAGGAGAATTTGGATTGAGAATCTTTACCGATAAAAGGAGCAATTTCAAAAACTTAAATGTGTAACATGACTTTTTTTTTTGAGACACAGTTTTGCTCTGTCACCCAGGCTAGAGTGCAGTGGCACAATCTCGTCTCACTGCAACCTCCGCCTCCTGGGTTCAAGCGATTCTCCTGCCTCAGCCTACCAAGTAGGTGGGATTATAGGTGCCCGCCACCACGCCCAGCTAATTTTTTGTCTTTTTAGTAGAGACGGGGTTTCACCATGTTGGCCAGGCTGGTCTTGAATTCCTGACCTCAAGTGAGCCACCTGCCTCAGCCTCCCAAAGTGCTAGGATTACAGGTGTGAGCCACCGCACTCGGCCTGTAACATGACTTTCATACACTGTTTTTCCATTCTGTTCCCAATCCTTCTCCTGTAATACTTGATGGATACAAAAAGACAAACTGATCCTGGGTATAATATGCCAAAAGTCCTCTTCACTTAAACTTTGGTTCAACTGAAAAAATAACTTTAAAATGGTGATTTTCAGATTTGTTCTTTGGTCAGGCAGTATAAAGCTCTCTGAAAGAAGTCCCTTTACCTGGTTATAGTATGAAAACAGTCAAAATAGAAAATGTCAGTTTAGGAAAGAGATCTATGTGTTCAGAATTTCTCAGAAAAAAATAAAAAATATGTAGACAGGCAGACCCTAGCCCCAGATGCCAGATTCAATTGACTTAGGACATCAAGAATAAAAGAGAACTAGCATTCAGAAGAGTAATATTTAAGTGGGTTAGCTTCTAAGAGGCCTAAATTAATAAACCTAATCCTTAAATAGGAACATGATAAATGCTTTCTGAGCAGAGGATTTACCAACAGTTTCCTTTATCAGTTTAAATCCTAATCTGGACCCAGACCTAGCCAGAGACTGTCATAATTTTCAAACGTAGAAAGCAGTAGGAAATGCAAGCCACAGGCTCTGCAAGGAGTAATCAATTCTTTGCACACTGCCACTGCCCCTGCCCCTCACCCACCAGGAGTGCACATCACTCTACGGAGCAGCTTTGTACCCAACACTCAGATGTGAGAGTGGCCTTCTCACCAGGGTGGGATATGGGTGCTCTGAAAACAGTAAGTGCTTTAAAAAGGGGGTGGGACGTGTTACGGTTAGAGCTTGGGAAGAACCAGAATTTGCGCACATCCTCAGACTGTGACCATTATGAAGAAGTATTTGATGGTAAAGGAAGAAATCATCTGGTGACCAGAAGAAAATGGAATAAGACCAAACCCTTGGGAGATTACACAATGAGCCTTTCAGCAGTCATCGCTTACTGTTTTTCTTAAAAGGCTAAACTTAAGATTAAAGGGTGAAAACTTCCGTTGATTACTTGAATGGTTAAATAAGGATTCCAAGGTTGGCCTTGAGACCTCTGAGACCTGGATGGGAAGTAAGTGGAAGGCACTTGCTCCCTAGGGAGGAGGGCCAGGTAAGTATCCAGGCTGCGGAGCCAGGGCCAGCAGTAGCTCTTGATGGGCCCAAGTCTGCAAGGTGCTGGGAGAGGGGAATGGCCTGTGTGGTTAGCCAGAGACAGGCTAGGGTCAGCGTGATTTCACAAGTAGAATGGTTGCAAAATAAAATGTTTTTTTAATGGACTGAAAAAGCAAAGTGAGTCACCTTCGTTTTTAAAGGTGAGATTTAGCAAAGGAAGGATTAGAAGCAGTTTTTTACTATTTACAAAATGTCATTTAGAGTGGAGGTGGCCACCTTCAGTAGCTGAGGCAATGTCTTTCACGTGAGATGGCCACAGAAGTGTGGTTCCTGGAACTGGCTCACAAAGGCCACAGGCTGTCCTGGGTGAGGGAGAGTTCCTCTGAGGGAGCACCAAAAAGGCTCAGTCTTCTGTTTCTTCATACGTCGTCTCGTCAAAGGGCCTGTCCAGTAGAGGTACCAACCGATGACGGGAATACTTCAGCTGCAATAGGTCCCCAACTTCATCTATCTCCTTTAAAGCCTAAAATACACAAGACAAAGTAGAGGTCTGTCAGAGCCAGTAGGATGCAGGCATGCCTGGTGTTTTACTTTGCTAAAAACAATCATGGCAAGATTATCCTTCGGCAGGACTTATGTCTAGTGCATTTACAAGATCAGACTACAATACAGCTGTGGAAGGAGCTGCTTTTTGAACAAGGCCTTCAAGCTCACCATGAATAATGGGTTGTGAATAGCCAGGTATGCAGAATAAAGGCTATAATTCAAAGTATGATATGCTTGGTAGAAAAAGTTATATGCACTCTGAACTTACAAAACCGAATACAATTTGTCATCTCTCCCTTTTGTTTTTGAGATGGAGTATCGCTCTGTTGCTCAGGCTGGAGTGCTGTGGCGCCCTCCGAGCTCACTGCAACCTCCACTTCCCAGGTTCAAGTGATTCTCCTGCCACAGCCTCCCAAGTAGCTGGGATTACAGGTGCCCGCCATCATGCTCAGCTAATTTTTGTATTTTTAGTAGAGATGGGGTTTCACCATGTTGGCCAGGCTGGTCTTGAACTCCCAACCTCAAGTGATCCACCACCTTGGCCTCCCAAAGTGTTGGGATTATAGGCGTAAGCCAACGAACCCAGCAACTTTTTTTTTTTTTTTTTTTTTTTTTTTGAGACAGAGTCTTGCTTTATTACCCAGGCTGGAGTACAGTGGCACCATCTCGGCTCACTGCAGCCTCTGCCTCCTGGGTTCAAGAGATTCTCTGCCTCAGCCTCTTGAGTAGCTGGGACTACAGGCATGTGCCATCACACCCAGCTAATTTTTGTCCAGACAGGGTTTTGCCATGTTGGCCAGGCTAGTCTTGAACTCCTGGCACCAAGTTACCCACCCACCTCTGCCTCCCAAAGTGTTAGGATTACAGGCATGAGCCACCACACCTGGCATCTTAAACTTCATTTTTTTAAAAAATCAGTGTTTGGAGAGAGAAAACCACCAGTATTACTGATGTATTGTAGCACAAGAAAAAATATTCTTCATTTCAAAATGTGAAAAATATAAAAGCAAATAAGAGCTGAACGTCAATGTGCTATCACAACAGCGGTACCTCTGAGAAGAGGTATAAGTGAAAGCTCCACATGGAAACAATTTAAGTCTGAAATTAAGCTGGGAGAACCCATCGACCATTTATTCACCTGACCTCTGTGACAAGATGTAATAATTTAAGACAAAAGTCAAAGCTGGCCGGGCGCGGTGGCTCATGTCTGTATAATTCCAGCACTTTGGGAGGCTGAGATGGGCAGATCACCTGAGGTCGGGAGTTTGAGATCAGCCTGACCAACATGGAGAAACCCTGTCTCTACTGAAAATACAAAATTAGCTGGGCGTGGTGGCACATGCCTGTAATCCCAGCTACTCGGGAGGCTGAGGCAGGAGAATCGCTTGAACCCAGGGGGCGGAGGCTGCGGTGAGTTGAGTTCATGCCATTGCCCTCCAGCCTGGGCAACAAGAGCAAAACTCTGTCTCAAAAAAAAAAAAAAAAAAGTCAAGGCTGAACACGGTGGCTCAAGCCTGTAATCACAGCACTTTGGGAGGCCAAGGCAGGCGGACTGCTTGAACCCAGGAGTTTGAGACCAGCCTGGGCAACATAGTAAGACCTCGTCTCTTAAAAGAAAAAAAAATTGGCAGGCATAGTCCCAGCTATGCTGGAGGCTGAGGTGGGACGATCCCTTGAGGCTGGGAGATGGAGGCTGCAGTGAGCCAAGATCATGCCACTGTACTCCAGCCTGGGTGACTGAGACCCTGCCTCAAAATAATAATAATAAGACAAAAGTGCACATGACTAAGATCACAAAGTAATGGACATTTATAAACTTTAGAAGAATCTAGAATTTTTTCATCAATGTAGAAAAGTAATCATTAGATAGAAAAAGAAATCCTCAGTAGCCCAAGGGGATCTAGATTACAAGATTTCCTTTGATCCCACTCCAAATATTTCAGACAAATCGGTGTCATGTGAATATAAGATGACATTCTAATGAGTGCTGACTCTTGTGTGGGGTATTTGGGTATGTTAGGGACAGGCAGCCATTACATGCATCGCCATTCATTAACAGTCTACACAGAACCTCTAGATCACAGGTAAGGTGGGTTTCTAGGAGAAAAACATGTATTCATTATAGAGCTGAGTAACCGAATCCTCTAGGACAGCCATCCTGCCGCTCCCCTGAGCCAATATCCTTGCGCTTCCCATTTTAAAAAATAACAAAATTATAGCTTTGAGATACAATTCACATTCAGCAAAATTCACTTTTAAAGTATACAATTCATTGCTTCTAAGTATATTCACAGAGTTGTGCAACTTTTGTCACTATCTAGTTTTAGAGTATTTTTATCACCCTAAAAAGCAACCCAATACTCGTTGTCTCAATCCTCACTCCCCCTCCTCTCAGGCTGGCTGCCACCAATCTATTTTCTGACCCTATGATTTGCCTGTTCTGGACATCTCTTATAAATGGAATTGTAAGTTATGTAGTCTTTGTTTTGGCTTCTTTCATTTAGCCTAATGTTTTCAAGGTTTATCCATGCTGTAGGGTTAAAACTTCACTCTTCTGCATCCAGCTGACCTAGTACTGTTTGTTGAAGAGACTATTCTTTTCTCATTGACTGGTCTTGGCTCCCTTGTTGAAAACAAATTGGCCATAGATGCTTGTGCTTTATTTCTGAACTCTGAATTCTACTTCACTGGTCTATACGTCTATCCTTATGCTAGTACTCGACTGTTGTAATTACTGTAGCTTTGTAGTAATTAGCTTTGTTTTAAAATTAAGAAGTGTGAGTCCTCCCACTTTGCTTTTCCTTTTCAGTACTATTTTAGCTATTCCCTGCCAGTTCCATATACATTTGAGGATCAGCCTTTTAATTTCTGCAAAAAAGGGCCAGTGGCTTAGGGTCTCCCAGTCCATTTTTTTCTGAGAAATGCTGAACACAGGATCTGTAGGTTGCTATACTGCCATCTTAACAATATTAAATCTTCCAATCCATGAACACAGGATGTCATTCCATTTCTTTAAGTCTTCTGTAATTTCTTTCAGCAAAGTTTTATAGTTTTCAATATACACATCTAAAAATACAGTGTACAAGTGTAAATTAGCCAGTGTACAAGGGAAAGGCTTTTTTTTTTTTTTTTTTTTTTTTTGAGACAGAGTCTCGCACTGTCGCCCGGGCTGGAGTGCAGTGGTGCGATCTCAGCTCACTGCAACCTCCGCCTCCCAGATTCAAGTGGTTCTTCCGCCTCAGTCTCCCGAGTAGCTGGGATTACAGGTGCCCCCCACCATGCCTGGCTAATTTTTTGTATTTTCAGTAGAGATGAGGTTTCACTGTGTTGGCAAGGCTGATCTCAAACGCCTGACCTCCCAAAGTGCTGGGATTACAGGTGTGAGCCACCGCACCCAGCCAGGAAAGGCTTTCTTAAGTTTATTACTAGGTATTTTCTTCTTTTGAAAATTGTAAAAGAAATTTTCTTTTCATTTGTTCATTGCTGGTGTATAAAAGCACTAATTTTTTGTGTGCTGATCTTTTACCCTGCAACTTTGATGAATTCATTTATGAGCTCTAGCTGTGTGTGTGTGTGTGTGCGCGCGCGCGCATGTGTGTGTGTGTATTTTACAGCACTTTCTATATACAGAATCATGTCATGAGGCCCATTATTAAATGAAAATTAATTTGTATCTCATAATGGTCTAGTACACGTTTAGTTCCATAAAACATCATAAGACAAAATGACTTTAACAAATCCATGGTTTCAAAAAATGCACTTTATGCTTTAAAAAACTAAATGGGAGGCAAAGCCCAACAATCCCTCAAGAGAATCTTATGAAAAGGATTAGAACTCTCAGTTGGCAAACATACTTGTTGGCAACAGAAATCTCCTTAGATATCCTAAGGAGATATCCTGGTTACATCTAAATTCTTTCATGAATGTGTACAGTTCTCAGAAGTCAAAGTTGTGGTCAGAAGGCATGGATTACTGCCATAGACACTGGTTATAGTTACACAGACTTTTTTTTAAAGGCACATTGAAATTCTGAGTTAACAGGTGAACATGAGAAAGAAAAAAGAAAATTCTTAAAACATCAATAGAGTAGGAAGGAAAGAAAAGCTGAAATCTCTAGGTTAAAAAAAATCATCACAGAAATTCACCAGTAAAATTTCTGAGAAATGAGAAAAATCCATTGGAAAAATCTGACAGGCATAATCAAAATAAAGAAAAAAAAGATACAATATCAAAAAGTTGAATCTAATTGGATATTGTCAGAATGTAATTAAGAATATGCTCACAACACTGTGCCTATAGTTAACAATACTGTATTCGACATGGAAAAATTTGTTAAGAGGACAGATCTCATGTTAAGTGTTCTTACTACAATTTTGTTTTTTAAAAGGGAATACACTTATACTCATAGAAATTTTGCTGTGTAGAAACAGAGAAGAAAAGTCAAGTCTTCGGCTATTCAGGAATACAAAATGTCCATCAAATTGTTATAATTAACTTTTATAAAGAAGCATTCATAATGTTCTTTAGGATTAGTAGCTCTTGCCAGGCAGTGGCTCACGCCTGCAATCCCAGCACTTTGGGAGGCTGAGGCAGGCGGATCACCTGAGGTCGGGAGTTCGAGACCAGCCTGACCAACATGGAGAAACCCTGACTCTACTAAAAATACAAAACTAGCTGGGCATGGTGGCGCATGCCTGTAATCCCAGCTACTCAGGGGGCTGAGGCAGAATTGCTTGAACCCAGGAGGCAGAGGATGTGGTGAGCTGAGATCACGCCATTGCACTCCAGCCTGGGCAACAAGGGCAAAACTCTCTCTCAAAAAAGAAAAAAAAAATTAGTAGCTCTCTAACTCATTAATGGATATTTCTAGCAACTAATTTTATGCAAATGTCATGTTCTAAAGCTTTATAAACTCCCAGATGGCAATAATGATTTAAACTCTGAAATCTTAGACTTGCAACAATAACATATTAAGAGAATATATAGAGATGAGAATATCTTGAGATAATAAATAATTAAGCTTAGTAATAATGATCCCCAACTAGATGCCTGGCAGTGTGGTGGGTGCTGGGATATAGAATCAGTAAAACAGACTTATTCCTATCCTCAATATTTATCTAATGGAGAAGACTGCTATTAAATAATTATAGGTGTGAAGAATTTAGTAAGGGAGAATCTCAGGATTCCAAGGGAACACAGAGCAAGAAGGTGTGGGGCGCCCCTGAGCAATTTTCCTTTAAATGGAGATGTGAAGAATGAGTGGCAGTCAGCCAGGCAGAGGGGAGAGAAAGCTCAAGAGAGAAAATTTTAGACAGAACAACATATGAGAAAGCTTAATGTAGAAATAGCTAGAGTGGAAAGAGAATTGTAGAGTCCATAGTGAGGGAGACAGTAGAGCAAGACAAAGCCGGAAAATTCTCCAGAGCTCTCATGATGCAGGTGTGGTGGGTGACAGTTTTTTTGTAAATGCCAATGTTTTTGGTAGCACTGTCACCCCCTCTGTCTTAGGTGCTCACAAGAACATCAAGATCAATATATTATGAATTTCATCTAATATACAGGCCCTTTTAATAAAAGGCATATTTATATCAAGGTGAAAGTGCCTACTTACAGTATCAAGTATTTCTTTGGTATGAGCTGCTGACAGGCAAAACCTGGCTCTGGACTCAATAATTGGGGTGGCAGGAAATCCAACCACAACGACACCGATGTTCCGCTTCAGCATCTCCCGTCCAAAGGCGCTGCAAAGGGGAAAACAAGAACAGAAACCAGGAGGAGTGAAAAAGCACTCATTACAGAGGACCTGCTGTCCTCAAAGATTTCAACTCTTTGGTGATGCAGGCATTGGAGACTTCTAATAGGAGTTTCCTTTAACTCCTTTTAAAGTTAAAATTGACAGCTCACAAATACTTTTAAAGTCAATCCTAAAGCAGTCTTCTCCTATATGGTGTCCTTCACAAAACTGAAATAACCAGCCTGGGCAACATGGTGAAATCCCGTCTCTACCAAAAATACAAAAAATTAGCTATGTGTGGTGGCATGCACCTGTAGTCCCAGCTACTCAGGAGGCTGAGGCATGAGAATCTCTCGAAGCTTGGAGGCAGAAGCTGTAGTAAGG
This sequence comes from Homo sapiens, assembly GCF_000001405.40. NCBI lineage: Eukaryota > Metazoa > Chordata > Mammalia > Primates > Hominidae > Homo > Homo sapiens. Next base: position 77,518,545 of record NC_000014.9, read on the forward strand.
CAAGATCACACGACTGTACTCCAGCCTGAGCAACAGAGCAAGGCTCTGTCTCAAAAAAAAAAAAAAGTGTCCCTGATATGTAATAGTGGTTCAGAGGCTTCAAAATGAACCTGTATTTAATTAAAATCTGGTCCTTGAAATGTTAAGCTTGGCAGTTTAACATTAATCCGCAAATTCTGAGGATTCTGCAGCTGTGGGGGATCTGCTGTAACACGGCACATCTTTTCTGCTAGCAGAATGGCTGACTGGCATGAGCTCTCCAGATCACACGTTTCTTTAATTGTCTTGGGAACAACACTGCTTCAGAATTCAGGGCTTCCTTTGGTGTCTGTCAGGCCAGTTCACCCGCTGGCTTCAGCTGATTACTCAGACCACACAATTCGTATTTAACAATCCCCCACCCCTATCGTAAGCCAAATTGGAGGCCCTGTGGCCTTACTCCACATCTGTATCTTGTCTAAATAACACATTCTAACTTTTAGTTAATTTTGTCTACTAAATTATGTGGGTTTTTTTTTGAGTCTCTCGCTTTGTCGCCAGGCTGCAGTGCAGTGGCACGATCTTGGCTCACCATAACCTCCACCTCCCAGATTCTAGCAATTCTCCTGCCTCAGCCTCCCGAGCAGCTGGGATTACAGGTGTGCACCACCACACCCAGATGATTTTCGTATTTTTAGTAGAGACGGGGTTTCACCATGTTGGCCAGGATGGTCTCGATCTCCTGACCTTGTGATCCACCCACCTCGGCCTCCCAAAGTGGGATTACAGGTGTGAGCCACTGTGCCTGGCCCAAATTATGTTGCTTTTTGTCTTTTCCTCTTATTGACCTCCCTTATGTTTCAACTTTTCCTTTAAGCTGTTTACAGCATTTGTTTGAGAATAAAAAAATGTGGCCGGGCCAGTGGCTCGTGCCTGTAATCCCAGCACTTTGGGAGGCCGAGGCGGGCAGATCACCTGAGGTCAGGAGTTGGAGACCAGCCTGGCCAACATGGTTAGACCCCATCTCCACTAAAAAATACAAAAATTAGCCAGGTGTGGTGGCACACATCTGTAATCCCAGCTACTGGGGAGGCGGAAGCACAAGATTTGCTTGAACCTGGGAGGTGGAGGTTGCAGTAAGCCGAGATCACGCCATTGCACTCCAGCCTGGGCTATACAGATCCTGCACATTTGGCATTACATTAATGCCAGTCTTTTCACAGCCTTTTCCCACTCTCTGTAGTACCAGTACATCTTCCTCAACATACCTCCTTTGTGTCAGCATGAACCTGGGTGCCCTGTATCTTCAGCACATGCTCCCAAACTGTCTAGTGCCTTATTCTAATTCTTTACCTTCTCTAAATCTTTTTTTTTTAACTTCTTAAATGCACAAATTTATTTTTTCTCAACAAACACACATCTTAATGCCTTTACAACTTTTATCTCCCCAAATATACCTTGCTTTTCTTTATACATGCTGTATACAGAGTTGTTTTCCTTATATTTAGTAGTTATTGCTTTTTTGTGCCCTTTTGGGTCCTGTACCTTCTCTAAATCTTTCCTAATTAAAGTGTACACAGTCAGTTGCACCTATGTAGAATAAAGGAGACACAGCCTTCTTTAAAGAGAGCTCTAGACTGAGTCCTTTGGATCTGATAACTCTTCATGTTTGTTTATGAGAATTCCACTTAAAGAAGAATGAAGAAAATCCTTCCCCATCCCCTCTGAAGCCATAATACCAACTGCCCATATGACTTCATGTTGAAACCCAAATTCTTCTTTTTCTCTCAGGGAGCACCTTTTCCTTACTTCCCTTTCATTCTCTTTGAATCACATTACTTCCAGGTTCCCTGATTTAATTTCCTCTCCCATATTCATTTCAGTAAACATTTACTGAGTGTCGGAGACTGTGGTGGACACTGGGGATTCAAAAATTTACAAAAATTGCTCCTTCAATGAGTTCAATCAAACTGGAGAAATGCTTTAAGATCCAGCTCAAAACTCACCCATCCAACAAGATGTGCCTTTCTTACTGAGCCTATACTAAGCAGGTCACTCCTTTATTCTACATCTTCAGGGCCACTTTGCATATAATAAAATTTGTTCAGTATAATTACTGTTCATTTGCTTTTCAAATGTCTTCTGGTTTCATTATACATCTGGACTTCTCAAATACATTGAAAGCTATCCTAGGGCAGGGCTTTCCATTATGTATGCCTCATACAAACCAAAGAAGCTGGTGTAATCTGCACACCTGGTAAGTATCCAATAACACACTCTGATAAAACCTCTCTGACCTCATGGCCCACTGCTCGCCCTGGGGCACGGTGCTCCAATTCCAGGGACCTCTTTGCTACTCTTCCGTCAGCTAAGCAAGCTCGCTTCTGTACTGTGGCCTTTGCACAGATGCTTCTTTCTCCAGTGGCTGTCAGCTCCTTCAAATCTTTGCTCAGATGTCATTTTCCTTCCCAAGGAGGCTTCCTTACCCTGACCACCCTATTTAATAGTGTTATCGGCCCGCCCACAGGGCACTCTCAACTCCCCATATAGGTCCTGCTCTATTTTTTTCCATAGCACTTGACACCTTCTAACATCGTACACAGTTCATTTGTTTATTATGTCTGTCTGACTGTTGCCCCCTACTAGACTGTAAGCTCCACAAGGACAGAGATGTTTGTATTTTATTCACTGATCTATCCCAGGCCCCTAGAGAGTACATGAAACTCAAATGTTTAATGAAAGAAGAACAAATTAACATACTTTACAATTTGGAATCCACTATTTGATCTATGGCATATGTACCAAATGAAGGTTAACACAGTAAGGACAAGACCATTTTCCCTAACAAAATACATAAGCCCTGGTCTCACATCACAGATAAGGATAAGGACAGACTGGTCTGTGATCTGCAACAAAACGTACCCAATTTTGGCAGGCATGTAGAGCATCAAAGGCACTACTGGAGAGTCTTCATTTCCATAGATGATGAAGCCCATCTCTTTCAGGCGTCTCCTGAAATACCTGGTGTTTTCAGCTAACTGTTGTACACACTCTTTACCTGGAAAGTCACGGTGAGAGAAAACAAAATAATCCTAAGTAAAAAGGAATGGAAAAAAGACAGTAAATCTCCTCTATCTCCATTCTATCTAATCAGTTCTGTTTCGTTTTTTTCCATTTCACCATAAAATATTTTACAGAGTAAACCATATGGAATATAAATGTAAAATGTCTCATTTTGTATTCTGTCATTCTACCTGTTAACAGCAGAAGTTATAATAATGTAAAAAACGTTTAATGGAGCGTTAGCATCCTCAAAGAATTTCAGCCATACCCCCTCACTGAGCACTCCACAAATCCCTTGACAGTAGGCAGGATATTTATGATTATCTTCATATTATAGGTGGGGAGACTCTCACCAAGGTAGTGACATGCCTACAGTTGCACAATAGTGTGTGGCACATTACAAGTAGCAAGTGGCATAGCTGCAACTAGAATTTACATCTTCTAACTTTAAGATTCATTCTAATTAACTGTGCTGCAAATAAATTTTACACATAAGACCAGAGATGAAGCCTTTAGACCCCCAAATTTTCATCTTCTGAGTTTCATTTTGTTGTTTCCTTACAATTCTTTTTTTCTTTTTCTTTCTTTTTTTTTTGAGACGGTGTCTCACTCTGTCGCCCAGGCTGGAGTGCAACGGCACGATCTTGGCTCACTGCAATCTCTGCTTCCCGGGTTCAAGCGATTCTCCTGTCTCAGCTTCCTGATAGCTGGGGTTACGGGTGCACATCACCACGCCCAGCTAACTTTTGTATTTTTAGTAGAGACAGGGTTTCGCCATGTTGGCCAGGCTGGTCTCGAACACCTAACCTCAAGTGATCTACCCACCTTGGCCTCCCAAAGTGCTGGGATTACAGACATGAGCCACCGCGCCTAGCCTGTTTCCTTAAAATTCTTACCAGACAACAGTAACATATCTGTAATAGTATAAAATCGTATCTTTAATCCTATTTTGCTCATCTTCCCTAAAACACAAATAGATTAAAACACACGTTTCTGTCTGCAATTGCCAACTGACTAAATATTTGGGCAGGTTTTGACATTATGGTAAGTCAATCTTTGAAAAGATATCCAAACAACTGTTCTGTTATACAGAGCAAAGCAATAAATTTAAAAGATCTGCTTGGAAAGGGCTAAGAACTGTTTTAGAATCTTCTCAACCATGAATACTCATGAATAGAAAAGGCTGCAGTAATTTTCATATATAGATTATAAAATCAGCAAGTTCATATTTTTAAAAGTCCAAGCATGATACATGACATAAGTTCTTATGACAAATTAACCAGACATACAGATAGCTAACAATGTCCTTAGAATCAGAATACTAACATATCCATCATTCATGGGAAGCTACTCTATATAAGTTGGCCACAAATAAGTCAAAATTAATACTCTTTATGTAGATAATTTCAAGTTGATCACAGAAAAACACTCAAGCTTAGATTAGCCTAGTGTGAGCACTGAAGAGCATCATTTATGTCATCGCTTAAGTTACAAAGAAGAAAGCAGACATTAAAGTGTGTTATATTTAAGTATGTTGGGAACTGATGAGCCAAGTCCCCTAACTTCCCCCTAGAAGTATCAATACATGCTTAATTTACATTTAGAAGATGAGACTTCTTCTGGCCATGGAGTACTAGAGGCTGGATTTATCTTCCTGCTGTAAACAATAGGAAACTGGACAAAGTACATAAACAATGACTTTTAGACATTGAACCACGGGGAATGCCAGACTGTGCTGCCTGAAGGCAGGTTGCAGGCTGCTGCACAGGGAAGGAGGGCCCAGTCTTGCCAGCTGAGGACATCTGAGATTGGAGTGGAGAGTGGTCAGTTGAGATCAGAGCTGGGGAGGCTGCGGGGGCTAGAATTTGTTGGGCAGTGTACAGGAGCAGGGAGGTGGGGTGCGATGAGAGAGCTTTAGAGATCTGCTGAAGGGTCCCTTTGAACTTTGGGAAGGGTACTGATTTCTATACGCATGAAAAGAAACTAGCAGAGGCTGGGGAAAAGATCCATCAGAAAGCAATAGGCCAAACAATTCCTGCACTCACATGGAGCTGGGAATAGTTTGTATTTTTGTCCACCAAAATATAAAGATCTTATAATATGTGGGTTATCTAACAGAGTCCTCAGAAGGGGACTCTACTCCTATCACCTTAGTAGTGGAGATAAATGAACCCTAGACTAAAAATTGGTCTGAACCCACCCTAACCTTAAAAGCAAGCTTTGAAAGGATCCTACTGATTCCAAGAACAAAGTCCAACATTACCTAAAGGAAAACAACAAGATATAGAAACTAGCAATGTAAAATTAATGTCCAACATATAATTTTAAAATTCCAGGCATTCAAAGAAACAGGAAAATATGACGTACAACCAGGGGAAAAGTCAGTCAATAAAAACCGACCAAAAATAACGGAGTATTAGCAGATATGGATGTTAAAGGCCATTATAAATATGATCTATATGTTCAAAAAGGTAGAAGAAACATGAGGAGAGAAAGGAAATATATGAAAAGGAACAAATGATTGCTAAGGCAACAATGCTGATGAATCTCAAAATATAATGTTCATTGAAATAAGCCAGACATGAGACTGCACACTGTATGAATTCGTTTGTATGAAACTCTAAAAAGACATACTGTAATGACAGAAAACAGATTCATGGTTGCCAGAAAGTATGGGAAGGCGGCTGATAGCAAAGGGGCAGAAGGGAACTTCCAGGAGGGACGATGAAAATATTCTAACCTTGATTGTGGCATGGGATTACAGGAGTGAGCCACCATGCTGCCCAGCCACCACCTTTAAAAAAAAATCACAAACCTTTTAGCTATCTAATCACAAATTAACTAGCCTCTGTTAAAAAAAAAAAAAAAAGTTTTTTCAAACTAAAAATGGAACTACCATACAATCCAGCAATCCCACTACTGCTGTTTATCCAAATAAAAGGAAATCAGTGTATCAAAGGGATGTGTGCACAGCTATGTTTACTACAGCACTATTCACAAGAGCCAAATACGGAATCATTCTAAGTATCAGCGGATGAATGGATAAAGAAAATGTGGCAGATGCACACAACGGAATACTATCCAGCCATGAAAAGAATGAAATGCTGTCATTTGCACAAGATGGATGGGACTGAAGGTCATGATGTTAAGTGAAATGAGCCAGGCACGGAAAGACACGTATCGCATGTTCTGACTCATGTGGGAGCTAAAAAAGTTGATCTCATGGAGGTAGAGAGTAGAACAGTGGTTACCAGAGGCTGGGAATGGTAGGGAAAGGGGGATTGAAGAGAGGTTGGTTAATGGGTACAAACATATAGTTAGATAGGAGGAATAAATTATAGCTTTTGATAGCACAGGATGACTACAGTTAACAATAGTTTACCGTGTATTTCAAAATAGCTAGAAGAGCTGAAATGTTCTAAACACACAGAAATGATAATGTTTGCGGTGACACATATCCAAAATACTCTGATTTGATCAGAATATTTGATACCGTATGCATCTATCAAAATATCATATGTACCCCATAAATATTATGTATCAATTTTTAAAAAAAGGAAAGCCAGGCACAGTGGTGTGATTCTGGCTACTTGGGGGGCTGAGGCAGGAGGATCTCTTGAGTCAGGAGTTTGGGGCTGTAGTGAGCTATGACTGCACCTGTAAACAGCCACTGCACTCCAGCCTGGGTAACATAGTGTGAGACTCTGTCACTTACGAAAAATGAGCCAGGCACGGTGGCTCACGCCTGTAATCCCAGCACTTTGGGAGGCCCAGACAGGCGGACCACCTGAGGTTGGGAGTTTGAGAGTAGCCTGACCAAATGGAGAAATCCCATCTCTACCAAAAATACAAAATTAGCCAGGTGTGGTGGTGCATGCCTGTAATCCCAGCTACTCAGGAGGCTGAGGCAGGAGAATTGCTTGAACCTGGGAGGTAGAGGTTGCCGTGAGCGAGACTGCGCCATTGCACTCTGCCCTGGGCAATAAGAGTGAAACTCCGTCTCGAAAAAAAAAAAGAAAAATTAAAAAAATTTAAAAAGGAGGGCTGGGCATGGTGGCTCACGCCTGTAATCCCAGCACTTTGGGAGGCTGAAGCGGGCGGATCACAAGGTCAGGAGATCGAGACCATCCTGGCTAACACGGTGAAACCCCGTCTCTACTAAAAATGCAAAAACAAAATTAGCCGGGCGTGGTGGTGGGCGCCTGTAGTCCCAGCTACCTGGGAGGCTGAGGCGAGAGAATGGCATGAACCCAGGAGGCGGAGCTTGCAGTGAGCCGAGATTATGCCATTGCACTCCAGCCTGGGTGACAGAGACTCCATCTCAAATAAATAAATAAATATATAAAAATAAAGTGGCCTGTTATCCTTTAAAATTGCTAGGCTGAACCATCAAACTGCCAACATGCTACCATTTTTGACCTTAAAGCAGGAAATTTCTTATGGTTTAACTTACTAATTTCAAAGAGAATAACAGGAAAATAAAAGCAGTAAAATAAATGTAGACAAATCAGTAAGCCCTGGCATTTACACGTTAGAAAATAGTTATCCTTTGCTCTTAAAGTGAAACTGAATCTTAACAGACAACATAGTTACCCACTTTGACTTGAGTATCATATAAAATAGCAGTTAATATTTATGCAAGAAGACCAATTGCTATTTAACGCCAGTGTAGTAGCTCAGTCCCAAGGATTTTTCACTGCAGAGTTTCAGCAAGTATCTGGTCTAATACAGACTTGAAACAAAGAAGAAAGTTTAGCACTGTTTAAAAAAATACTGCTCTTAAGAAGTTTTTATCTTTGGCTCCGAAAGAACACAGATGGAAATATAAAGAGGTCAGAATTCTTTCCTACTTTTCAAACATAAATCTTTACTTTTAAGGGTGATAAAAAGCATAAAAGCAATTTGGAGGAGAAAAATCTGTACTGACTCTTGAATTTTACAAATAAACTTAACTGTGTGGCTGTCCTTTTGGACTTCAATATGGTTTGTTAGAATAAAACTATTTTTAGGAACTCTACTGTAAAAAAATCTACAGCTTGGCATGGAAGAGACAGAGAAAAGTAAATATGTAGTTAATTTCTTGGAAAATGTAGATAACTTTAACAGGTCATTTTTAGTCTTCAACCTCTTTACAATAAATCTTATTCTCAGGAAGGAAGGAATAGATATAAAAGATCAATATGCTGTAACAGCATCATTAGATTATTTAGTTCTTTTTTTTTTTTTGAGACAGAGTCTCACTCTGTTGCCCAGGCTGGAGTGCAGTGGCGTGCTCCTGGCTCACTGCAAGCTCCGCCTCCTGGGTTCACGCCATTCTCCTGCCTCAGACTCCCGAGTAGCTGGGACTGCAGCAACCCGCCACAACACCCGGCTAATTTTTTGTATTTTTAGTAGAGATGGGGTTTCACCATGTTAGGCAGGATGATGTCGATCTCCTGACCTCATGATCCACCTGCCTCGGCCTCCCAAAGTGCTGGGATTACAGGCGTGAGCCACTGCGCCCGGCCTCTTTTTTTTTTTTTTTAATTGAGATGGAGTGTCACTCTGTTGCCCAGGCTGCAGTGCAGTGGTGCGATCTCAGCTCACTGCAATCTCTGCCTCTCAGGCTCAAGCGATTCTCCTGCCTCAGCTTCCTGAGTAGCTGGGATTACAGGCAAGTGCCACCATGCCTGGCTAATTTTTTGTATTTTTAGTAGAGACAGGGCTTCACTTTGTTGGCCAGGCTGGTCTAAAACTCCTGACCCTCAACTGATCCATCGCACCAGGCCTAGATTTAGTTCTCTTAAGGAACTAGAAGGCCTTGAAAAGGATGGAGGGTAGAGGTTGAAGGAGCGCCACAATTATCTACCTACTGATAACCACTAGATATTGATAACCTTCAATCACGTTTACAAAACAGAATTAGATTTAGGGAACTACATTAATCACTGCCAAACAGATTTAAGGTGTACCAATTGCTTTTCAGTCATTTTTAAAAGGAATATTTTATCAAGTCTTAATCCAAATTTCTCAAGATTCTCAGCCATGCATGTAATCTTAAGGTTAGAAGGAACTACTATATTATTACTGAAATAAACTCCATAAGCCCTCCTAGATAGGTGTGACTTAGAACAGACAGTGTTCTATAAATTTTCTGAACGCTCAAGACTGCTTTTTTTTTTGTTTTTTTGAAAGCCAGGAAAAGATCCATGTAATAAAGTAAGGAATATAAAGGCAGCAGACATTTTTGTCTTAAACTAGTACTATTTAGCATTATACTTCAAAGAATAGAGCATGCACTCAGCTGCTTCAGTAGTAATATGATTTCCAGTTTAGCTGATGAGCTTTTATACAACTTATACCATAACCAACAAAAACATGTTTGAGCCTGCAGCTTCAAAAATAACATTTCTGTTGTTAACTGAAATCTTTCAAAATAAAGGACACAAATATTAAGGATGTTCAGCCAGAGTTGATCTCCTAACTCATATTATACTTCATTACACAGCTCCTAATCTTCTTAGATTTCCTGAATATGCTGATATATAATCTGTCTTCCTGGGGAAAATAAAATAAAATTACTGCTACTCCTCCAACTTATACTTTCCAATTAATTACAGTGCACTGAAAGAATTTGAAATTGAAGAACTTCCCCACCCCTCTTTTCCTCTTCTTTTTTTTTTGAGATGGAGTTTCACTCTTGTTGCCCAGGCAGGAGTGCAATGGCGCGATCTCGGCTCATAGCAACCTCCGCCTCCCGGGTTCAGGCAATTCTCCTGACTCAGCCTCCCGAGTAGCTGGGATTACAGGCATGTGCCACCATGCCTGGCTAATTTCGTATTTTTAGTAGAGACGGGGTTTCTCCATGTTGATCAGGCTGGTCTCGAACTCCTGACCTCAGGGGATCTGCCCGCCTCGGCCTCCCAAAGTGCTGGGATTACAGGCATGAGGCACTGCGCCCAGCCCCCCCTTTTCTTCTTAAAGGTTATATTCTCAAAGCAGGTAAAAGTTTTCTATATCAGCTCAGGGTCCCTCAAATAGATAGCTCCAAGAATGGTTTCAGTTAGTTTTCAGCATTAACTAGGAATTAATTGACATAAAGCAGGATAAAATATGGAAAAATACTACCCATCATCTAGCTCTAATATATACTATAATAGCAAATTGTGGTTATTTCATATCTCTTTCATTTAACAATTTTTTATAAGAATTGAAGCTAACTGTCAATCTTTTACTTTAATCATCTGTTTCAAAGGTCTTATTTTTGTTATTTTTTGTTTGTTTTTTGAGACAGAGTCTCACTCTTGTCGCCCAGGCTGGTATGCAATGGTGCAATCTTGGCTCGTTGCAACCTCTGCCTCCCAGGTTCAAGAGATTCTCCTGCCTCAGCCTTCTGAGTAGCTGAGCTTACAGGCGCCCGCCACCATGCCTGGTTAATTTTTTTGTATTTTTAGTAGAGACAGGGTTTCACCATGTTGGCCAGGCTGGTCTTGAACGTCTGACCTCAAGTGATCCACCCACCTCAGCCTCCCAAAATGCTGGGATTACAGGCGTGAGTCACTGTGCCCAGCCTTATTTTTATTATTTGGAAGTACACCTTTTCTCATATTTTACTTTGGTTGGATTATACTATAGAGAGAGAAAGAACACATTTCATTCCTGTGAAGTTTCTCTTTGAAAACTTCTTCTTTTTTTTTTTTTTTTTTTTTTAACAAATATGCCTTTTCTAGGACAGTTTAAACCAGGACATGACAAAGTATGTTCTCCACTGATAGAAATAAACTTACATACCCTTGATGTTTACTTTGCCTGCGTTGTGTGTCTCTATTGAAATCTAAAACTGGAACTTATATCTTAAAGACCTCTTACACAAGTGTTTATAACATCAGATAAGTCAAAGCAAACTACGTTTTCAAAGGCTATTACCAAAGTAATTATGGAAGCTCTCAGTACTGACTCCCTTTAAGCAAAGTGAGTAAAGAAAATAGCACAGTGCTAGGCCCAATTAATGTTTGCTTTTTTTCACTTTTTCTAGGAAAGCAATTTCTTTCTTTCTTTTTTTTTTTTTTTTTTTTTTGAGACAGAGTCATTCTGTCGCCCAGGCTGGAGTGCAGTGGTGCAATCTTGGCCTACTGCAACCTCCACCTCCTGGATTCAAGAGATTCTCGTGCCTCAGCCTCCCAAGTAGCTGGGATTACAGATGTGCGCCACCATGCCTGGCTCATTTTTGTATTTTCAGTAGAGATGGGACTTCACCATGTTGGCCAGGCTGGTCTCAAACTCCTGGGCTAATGTGATCCACCTGCCTGGCCCAGTAAAGCAATTTCTAAGCAGGGGAATATTACATTTTGCTTTGGTTACTACATCTCTAAATATTACCAAGTCAACTGCTAGCCTGCCTTATCTCCTGATAAGACAGTACTTTATAGTCTATCATAAACAAATGAAAGAATATGTTGATTTATATTAATTTAAATTAAGAATTCTCTTGCATTTATGGTGCTACAGCTAACTCCACATGTTAGAACAACAGCTTAATCTCATCTCAGCTGAAGGTATCTTGGACTTATGTGGAGGAGGAGATAGGAGTGACTATTGTTATTACATCATTTCCAAGAACTCCAAATAGTGTGCATAGTAGAAAATCTCAGATGAAATCAGGTAATGCTTTCAAAAAAAGATAAGCAAACCTGGGTTAAAAACATTTCAAATTTCCATCATGCTCAACATTTAAACCACAGGATCTTTTTTAAAAAAAAAAAATATTTATTTATTTATTTTGAGATGGAGTCTTGCTCTGTTGCCCAGGCTGGAGTGCAGCGGCACGATCTCAGCTCACTACAACCTCCACCTCCTAGGTTCAAGCGATTCTCGTGCCTCAGCCTCCTGAGTAGCTGGGATTACAGGTGCCCGCCACCAGACTTAGCTAATTTTTGTATTTTTAGTAGAGACAGGGTTTCACCACGTTGGCCAGGCTCGTCTCAAACTCCTGACCTCAAGTGATCCACCAGGCCTAAACCACAAGATCTTTCAATACACCATATAAGTAACTTCTGAGAGGAAGAACAGACTTAGTAGGCTTTCCCACCTCTCCCTTTTAGAAGCAAGGCATATTTAAGAGTTATGTTACAGCTAAGAAACTAAACTGATGCCCAGTGAGGTTACATATCTTAAAATAGAGAAACCAAGACTTGACTCCCTGGTTCTTCTGGTTTCAAAGACTGGACTTTGAATGACTCAATGATGTATTCTAGCTCCTGTATTGCTAGGATTGACTAAAAGGGAATGTTAAGTATTTAACGTAGGAATTTAGAAGAGGAATAAGTGAGTAACTTTGTTGCATTACAAATAATCAACAATGCACGTTGGCCCACCCTGTTGAGACTCATCTACCTACTGTGAATTCTTCCCTAACACCGCCTCCGCCACATCACACTGCTTCTCCTTCAGTCTACTACATCATGCAGAATCCCAGGGAAAGAGGTGGTGCCCACAGATTTCCTTCCATCCTGCATTCTCCTTTCCCATTTTAATCTAGGATTTCTGCCATCCTGCATCTTCCAAAGAGGGCACCCTGCAAAATTTCAGTCAACCATTTCCAGAGTTTCTCAGTAAGATTGTTGTTGGCATTTTGGGCAAAACAGTTCTTCATTGTTTAGGCTGTTTAGTGCCTTGCACAACATTGAGCATCACTGGCCTCTGGGCTGTGCATGCCAACAGTGCCACAGCAACCTAGTCTGTGACCAAAAATACCTCTAGACTATTCCATATGCTTCTCAGGAAGATGGTACTCTTCCTGGTTGACTGTTCTCTACCATAAGCCCTGAAAGTTATTTCTTCACAGGGACCATGACTTTCTTCTTCTTCTTCTTCTTCTTCTCCTCCTTCTCCTCCTCCTCCTCCTCCTCCCCCTCCCCCTCCTCCTCCTCCTCCTCCTCCTCCTCTTCTTCTTCTTCTTCTTTTTTGTGATGGAGTTTTGCTTTTGTTGCCCAGGCTGGAGTGCAATGGCACAATCTCGGTCCACCGCAACCTCCACCTCCCAGGTTTAAACGATTCTCCTCCCTCAGCCTCCTGAGTAGCTGGGATTAAGGCAAGTGCCACCATGCCCGGCTAATTTTGTATTTTTAGTAGAGACAGGGTTTCTCCATGTTGGTCAGGCTGGTCTTGAACTCCCAACCTCAGGTGATCTGCTGGCCTTGGCCTCCCAAAGTGCTGGGATTACAGGCGTGAGCCACTGCACCCAGCCTGGAATGTTTTATACTGCAATCTGGGTGGTGATTAGATGAGTATATTTATGAAAACTGTATGTCTAAGATCTGTACACTTCATTGTATGAATGTCAATACTTCAATAAGAATAAAAATAAAATTTAAAATACTTGGAAAATCACCCAAAGTTAAACAAAAATGGAATTGAGGTTAAATTTCTCATCTCTCTATTGATGATTTTAAATACAGCCAACTATTATTTAATAATACCCCTTTTACTTAAAAACAACAACAACAACAAAACAGAACCATCTAAATATTACAGGTGTGGGCTCAGGAACTCTCCTCTTAACCTTTGGTTTTAAGACAAATCTGGAAAAATACTGAAATTTTTGGTGCTGCATATTCCGGGAATTTGTATTGTAAGATGGGGTAAGTGTTAGGAAAACAGCACTTCAAACTTAAATGTCCTGAGGCAAGAAATGAAAGCTGGCCTTCCCTTCTTTCCCTTTCTCTCTTTAAATGCTCACGTGAATGAATACACAGAATAGAAAATCCTGGTAATAAAAATATTCGTTTTTTATCTGTGCATTTGCTTTAATTCTCATGAAGACATTTTCCCTAGATATTTTACTATTAGGTTTTTCTTCTGCATACCCTGCCAAGATGGGGAGGCTGATGGACGGCTGGCACAAAAAATTAGTAACTTAATATAAAAATCTGATTCTGGGCTGGGCGCGGTGGCTCACACCTGTAAACCCAGCACTTTGGGAGGCCGAGGCAGGTGGATCACGAGGTCAGGAGATGGAGACCATCCTGGCTAACACAGTGAAAGCCCATCTCTGCTAAAAATACAAAAAATTAGCTGGGTGTGGTGGCAGGCGCCTGTAGTCCCAGCTACTCGGGAGGCTGAGGCAGGAGAATGGTGTGAACCCAGGAGGCGGAGCTTGCAGTGAGCCGAGATAGTGCCACTGCACTCCAGCCTGGGCAACAGAGCAAGACTCTGTCTCAAAAAATAAAAATAAAAATAAAAATAAATAAATAAATAAAATAAAAAATCTGATTCTGACTGCTTTTTTTGGAGGGCTATGGGACACTACAATTGAAATTATGAGGATACAATGGAGTACAAAATTATTCAGCAAAGAAAAAGTTAAAATGACACCACCATAGTAGCAAAGCATGAACAAATGCTTCATGTTAACAGAAAAGGTCAGTTTCAGATTAAAAAATTTAAATGTCAGCTGGGCACAGTGGCTCACGCCTGTAATCCCAGCACTTTGGGAGGCCAAGGTGGGCAGATCACCTGCGGTTCGGAGTTTGAGACCAGCTTGACCAACATGGTGAAACCCTGTCTCTACTAAAAAAATACAAAAATTAGCTGGGCGTGGTGGTGCACGCCTGGAGTTCCAGCTACTTGGGAGGCTGAGTCAGAAGAATTGCTTGAACCCAGGAGGCAGAGGTTGCAGTGAGCCAAGACTGTGCCATTGCACTCTAGCATGGGTGACAAGAGCGAAACTCCGTTGCAAAAAAAAAAAAAAAAAAAAGTAACTGTCTCTGGGTGAGTATAATAGCAATGTATAACAAAGTCCTCCTAAAACAGTTTTTGTAGAAATAATATGCTCTCTAGGATGACTGGAATCTGAAATTCTGAAAAGCAAATACGGTAATATTGACAAAGTAATAATTTCTCAGGACCTAACACCTTTACCAAATTAGAATGTTTTGACTTCATTTTAAAAGGGGCGAAGCTGAGCAGGGAGTGTACACGCAAGCAGTTAGTTTCGGGAAGGCTGGACTTGTACCAGGGCTTACGATGTTCCAGAGCTAAATAAACCTTAGGTAAACAGACCCTTCTTTACGTGTGCAAGCACGTCCTTTAACAGTAAGAACTGCTGGGATTCCTGACTCCATTTATTCAGGAAATTTCCAAAAGTAATTTTTACTTCTTTCAAGAAAGGGGAAGTAGGTTGGGCAAATGAACGTTTAGATTCGATAGCAAAAGTAACAAAAAATATTCCTAAGTCTCTGGGGTTTGCTGGTGCCAACTGAATTTTGAATTCCTGTTATAACCTCTACTTCTTTCTTTTAGAATAAATATGGGCTGGGCGCAGTGGCTCATGCCTGTAATCCCAGCACTCTTGGGAGGCCGAGGCGGGAGGATCCCTTGAGCTCAGGAGTTCAAGACCAGCCTGGGCAACATGGCAAAACCCCGTCTTTACAAAAAATACAAAAATTACCAGGTGTGGTGACGCACGCCTGTGGTCCCAACTACTTGGGAGGCTGAGGTGGGAGGACTGCTTGAGCCTGGGTGGTAGAGGTTGCAGTGAGCTGAGAGCATGCCGCCGCACTACAGCCTGGACAACAGAATGAGACCCTGTCTCTCTCTCTTTCTCTCTCTCTCTCACACACACACACACACACACACACACACACACACACACACAAATGCATATCTATAAAAAGTCTCAAAGGGAACATGTAAATTTGTTCCACTTCATATTATTTACTCCATATAAATAATAGGTTTCATCAAATTCAATATTACCAATTTTTTAAAAGTGCTCATTTTGAGAAACATGACAAATTCATATTGATAAATTCACCAAATAAGTGTTAAAAGAAACTGTATACATACAGCGGTTGTGGATATGTTTCAGGATTTCTGAAAGAAACTTAAACACTAAAGAAGTCAAATTAGGAGGCTACTAACATTTCTGAAGCCTCAGGGCAGTCTAACTTTATGATATAAAAAATTTTTAACACAGAAATCTGGTATATAAAATTAAATAATAAACATTTCACATATTTCAGTACACACACACACACACATATGCTAAACATAGAAGAAATAGAAATTGATTTCACCAAAGGCAAAATAAAAAAAAATTGATTTCACCAAAGGCAAAAAGAAGACTACACAAAAAGGGGAGAACATATTGTGCACTAGGGAAGCAGATGTCATTAAAAAAACATATGCTGAGCACTCATGATGCACCAGATATTGCTCTAGACCCTGGACATTCTGCAGCAAATGAAACAGACAAAACTCCTGCCTTTATGCAGCTTACATTCCAGTGTGGGAGATGGACAACAAACAAAATTAATACTCACTAAAGAAGTGTTTCAGGAAAGACCTGATGCAGCCAAGTGCTATTTCTTTTTTTTTTTGAGATGGAGTTTCGCTCTTGTTGCCCAGGCGGAGTGCAATGGCGCCATCTTGGCTCACTGCAACCCTCCGCCTCCCGGGTTCAAGCGATTCTCCTGCCTCAGCCTCCCGAGTAGCTGGGATTACAGGCATGCGCCACCACACCTGGCTAATCTTGTATTTTCAGTAGAGACAGGGTTTCTCCATGTTGGTCAGGCTGGTCTCGAACTCCCAATCTTAGGTGATCTGCCCGCCTCGGCCTTCCAAAGTGCTAGGATTACAGCTGTGAGCCACCACACCCAGCCCCAAGTGCTATTTCTATAAACTGCCAAGACCCGGAGCAAAAAGCACACCCAGCATATGCAAGAAATATGGAACAGCGAGTGAGGGGAAGAGTGGGATAGAGGAAGTCAACAGACAGATAGATCCCAAGGGCCCACAGGTCTTCACTGACTTTAGGCGGGATGAGAAGGCCTTTGGGGAGGGTTCTTAAACAGAAGATAGATATGATCTCCCATCAGGATCACACTGAGAGCTATCTATATTTAGAATAGATGCAAAGAGGGAAGCAGAGACACCACAGGAGGGAAGATGGTGACTTGGATGAACACAGTAGCAAGTGGTAGAAAGTGGACTGAGGATACATTTAGAAGGCAGACAGAAGTGTTACAAACAAGGTATGAAACAAATATTTAATGAATGAATGAATCCTGCATATGAGGTATGAGACCAACATGGACCAGACTGCTTAGAAAAGGGGTCGTGGACTCATAAAATTTTACTGGAACTCTCTGTACGGATATCTACAATTCCTGATGTTCAGCATTGCTTATTTAATTCTTCCAAAGCATTTTTGCTTGACTGATTCCTCTACTATTATGACTGGCTGGCTATTAAAACCAGGTGAAAGTGGACAGAAATCTAAGTCAAGTAAATAACAATGAGATATGGAGAAGTAGACAGGTTCAAAGATATTAAGGAAGCATGATCCATAGGCACTGGTGACTAAATACAGGGGATAAAGGAGAGAAACGATGATAGGTATTTCTTGTTTGGACAACTTCATGAATAGTGATGCCATTACCTGAGATAGGAAACACAAAAGAAAAAGTTGGTTTGAGGGGAAACCAGCAAAAAGGCTAAAAACTGTGGAGACACAACTCAATTTTGGTGGAGCAAGTATTTCTAGAGCCTAGATTTTGAAATGCAGTAGGTCAAGACTACTGCTTCCAAACTTGAACTAGAATATTAAAAATTATTTTCTGAGATGATGAAAAGGTTCTATAAATGGATAGTGGTGATGGTTGCACAGCACTGGATGTATGTAATGCCACTGAATTGTACCGAAAAATGATTAATTTTGTTATATATATTTACCACAATAAAAAAGTTTTAAATTTATTATAGGTGACACTGTTTGCTCACTGTAGGTCAGGTATTTTTTGGTTTTTTTTTTCTCTTTATTTTATTTTTGACCAATGGATTCACGTCACCAGGTGATTTTTTAAACAGCTTTATTGAGATATATATCACGTGCCATAAAATTCACCCATTTAAAGCACACAGTTAAATGTTTTTTAGTATAGAGTTCTGCACCTCTTATGACAATAAATGTTAGAATATTTTCATCACTCAAAAAGAAACCAGTATCCATTAGCAATACCCCTTTTCATCCTAGTCCTTCCAGCCTATAGGCCGAGTTTAAGCAAAACTTTTGTGGGAGGTGGGTCAAGTAATATAATTTATTCCAAAGCCACACTTTTCTATGTAAACAAAAGACAAGTGATAACTTTTAAAAAGAAGAAAAAAAAACCTCTCTTAGAGCTCTATTTCTTTTTCTACCATTAGATCAGTGGTAAAGATAAAATACTACTAGTAAAAACTCCTATGGACAATTTTCTGCAGTTTAGGTGAAAATCATGCAAATCAGTAAATACAAGCAATTTGTAAATTT
Organism: Homo sapiens; assembly: GCF_000001405.40. Taxonomy (NCBI): domain Eukaryota; kingdom Metazoa; phylum Chordata; class Mammalia; order Primates; family Hominidae; genus Homo; species Homo sapiens. The sequence goes on from NC_000014.9 coordinate 77,536,876, forward strand.
TAATTTTGTTTTTGTTATTTTCTACCAATGTCTATGTATTCCCCCACCCCCCCACTTCTTTTTTTGAGATGAAGTCTCGCTCTGTTGCCCAGACTGGAGTGCAATGGTGCAATCTTGGCTTACTGCAACCTCCGCCTCCCAGGTTCAAGCAATTCTCCTGCCTCAGCCTCCTGAATAGCTGGGACTACAGGCACCTGCCACCACACCCAGCTAATTTTTGGAATTTTAGTAGAGATGGGGTTTCACCATCTTGGCAAGGCTGATGAACTCCTGACCTCGTGATCTACCCGCCTCTGCCTCACAAAGTGCTAGGATTACAGACGTGAGCCACTGCACCTGGCCTATGTACTTCTTATCTTTAAAAACCCCAAAGAAACCAAAGAACACTATGAAAGATAAAGGGCAGAAGTTAAAAAAAAAAAAAAGTTATGGAAAGATTCCCTATGGCACATTTTAAGACATGTCTCTACTTTGTAATTCATTAATTTGCTCTTGTTTATAAGTTCCTGTTACTGTACTTATGCCGTTTATGTGTGGTCTCGTGTTGCCAGAACAAACTGCAAACTCTGAGGACAAATACTGTTATATTTTTTTCCCTAGTAACTCCCCCAAGAACACTGAGCAGATAAGCCAAGTTGAAATACGCTGGGAAAATGAAAACACGTTATGTATTCGAACTAATTTAAATTACAAAGCAAAATTACCTATATAGTCAATTACATTAAGGCAAACAATCATCTAATACATTAATAAATATCTAGTACACAAAAAGCATTCTGGAACTGGATCCATGAGTTCAAACTGGCTCCAACACTAGTAACTATGTGTCCTTGGGTAAGCAACTTAACCTCTTTGTTTCCTTAACCTCTCAGCTTCCCCCTTTTGTAAAAGAGGGAAAATAATGTCTAACATTTAATACTTGTTCTGAGAATTTAATGAAAAGCAGTTAGAACAGTGCTAACTACATGGTAAGCAGACAATAAACGGCCACTGTTATTTCACTTGTTCATGTATTCTTCTCTTAAAATCATGCTGTTCCTATCTTCCATACAACATGTTCCGACCCTTCGGCTTAGCCTTAACTTTGAAAAATGAAATGAACGACTATCTTACTTCCCTTGTTGTTTCCAATTCTCCATTTTCTATTTCCTGTGCACACTCTTATTAATTTTAACACATAACACAAGGACACAGCTGATTTTACTAACATATAATCACTTCATTCTCTAATGCTCTGATTTATAGTTTATAAACAAGCTTCATATATTTTACCCTCTACGATGCTATGAACTTTCCAAAGCTTTTGAGGTTTTCCTTTATTCTCCAATTTAGAGTACCTCTACCATCACATCACCCAGTAATTATCATCCAGGTGAGGCAAATTACCTTTGCAAATCTGAGTGTTCAAGATGGCAAGCAGACACCGTCCTTTTCTGAAAACTACCACTCATGCACACCCCATCATAATGGGGATGGGATCCTGTCTCTACCTGAGCTAATTTTATTCTCACATCTAATAATCTAGAATAGGCACAGAGATATGCTTGCATGGAGGACATTTTAAACTTGAAATAATAAGACAGTCATTTTGGATGTCATACATCAAAGCAGTAATGCAGGTCTCAGAAAGAAAGAGAGAACTAATAATTTCACCATCTTCCTGAATTTCACTTATTAGTAGTTTTAATTTGGTTCTATATAAACTTTTTTTTTGAGACAGAGTCTTGCTCTGTTGCCCAGGCTGGAGTGCAGTGGCTTGATCTTGGCTCAATGCTACCTCTGCCTCCCGGGTTCAAACTATTCTTGTGCCTCAGCCTCCCAAGTAGCTGGGATTACAGGCATGCGTCACCACATCTGGCTAATTTTTGTATTTTTAGTAGAGATGGGGTTTCGCCATGTTGCTCAGGCTGGTCTCAAACTCCTGACCTCAGGTGATCCACCTGCCTCAGCCTCCCAAAGTGCTGGGATTGCAGGCATGAGCCACTATCCCCAGCCTGTGGTATATAAACTTCTGAAGTCAGACTATCTACGTTTGTATCCTGGCTTGAGCATCTAGTAGCTGTATGGCTACAGCCAAGTCACTTAACCTCTGAGTTTGGTTTCTTCATCTGCAAAATGGGAATGGCAATGGGGATGATGATGATGATGATAACTACCTACTAGATAAGGCTGTTTTAAGAAAATGGGATACTCCATTAAAGCACTTAATGAAATGCTTAAACAAACGGTCTTTAAAAACTTATTTTATATTTACATATGTAAGATCATTTATATTATTTTCTATTTTTGTTATTTTACCTATAACAAGACCTATAATATTTTAAGGCCTATTCTTCTATCATCAAATTGGGAAAAAACAGAAACAAATGGGCATATATCCTTTTTATCTTCTAGGGAGATATTAAAGACCTTGAGGAAAAAGAGAAAAGGCAAGCCAACAGGAGACAGTTATTTTCTAACTCTAAGGCCCACTCAGACACCAAAAAGAGAAAAAATTAATTAAAAAAAGAAGGATCTAAGTGGTATTAAGAAATAATTGTAATCTAACACTAAGAAACTGTTGTTTATTCTGAGAATTCAAAAAAATGAAAATTTTATCTTAAGAGGCTTTTTTTTTTTTTTTTTTTTTTTGGAGATGGGGTCTCGTTGTGTCGCCCAGCCTGGAGTACAGTGGTGTGATCTCGGTTCATTGCAACCTCTGGCTCCTGGGCTCAAGTGATCCTCCTGCCACAGCCTCTCAAGTAGCTGGGATTACAGGTGCCTGCCACCAAGTCTGGCTAATTTTTATATTTTTAATAGAGATGGGGTTTTGTCATGTTGGCCAGGCTGGTCTCAAACTCCTAACCTCAAGTGATCTGCCAGTCTTGGCCTTCCAAAGTGCTGGCATTACAGGCGTGAGCCACTGTGCCCAGCCGCTTAAGAGGCTTTTGAAGCTATATGTTATTTTTTTGTAGCTGGCACGTGGTTAAGTAGTCAAAAACAGATTGCTGACTGAATAAACTTCTTATTGTGGCTTGAACTAATAAAAAAACACAATTAAGCCAGGCAAGGTGGCTCATGCCTATAATCCCAGCACTTTGGGAGGCCGAGGCAGGCAGATCACCTGGGGTCGGGAGTTCTAGACCAGCCTGACCAACATGAAGAAACCCTGTCTCTACTAAAAATACAAAATGAGCCAGGTGTGGTGACACATGCCTATAATCCCAGCTACTCGGGAAGCTGAGGCAGGAGAATCGCTCGAACCTGGGAGGCGGAGGTTGCGGTAAGCAGAGGTTGTGCCATTGTACTCCAGCCTGCCAGCATGGGCAACAAGAGCGAAACTCTTGTCTCAAAAAAAAAAAAAAAAAAAAAAGTAATAAGAAGGTCCTCTGGATATGTTTTGAAGATCAGACAGCAATAAAGGAATAATATGCCTTAAAAGGCCTGAAACATACAAAAAAAATGTAATGGACAGAGTTCTTATCTGCTAATAAATTTAACACCACATTCTCAATTAGCTGTGCATATGCAGGAAGAGGAAGGCACAGCAGCCCAGATCATCAAGAAATGGTCTCCATTTGATTTTGAAATGCATTTTATTTATTTTTACTTTTATTTTTTAATTTTTTAAATTTTTTGAGACGGAGTCTTGCTCAGTTGCCCAGGCTGGAGTGCAGTGGTGTGATCTTGGCTTACTGCAACCTCTGCTTCCTGGGTTCAAGTGATTCTCTTGCCTCAGCCTCCCGAGTAGCTGGGACTACAGACGGCCGCCACCACACCTGGCTAATTTTTGTATTTTTAGTAGAGATGGGGTTTCGCTATGTTGTCCAGGCTGGTCTCGAACTCCTGACCTCAAGCGATCACCCACCTTAGACTCCCAAAGTGCTGGGATTACAGGCGTGAGCCACCGCACCCAGCACATTTTATTATTTTAAAGGTAGATCTCTCTCATTGCTAACATTTAATTATGGCATAAGTCCATATATACCAGTTCCACTGAGGGGAAATGAGTGATATAATGCATGTTTAGTTGCAGAAGTAGTTTAGAACTACAAATATGCCATATATAATCTGTTCACAGAACCAAAAATATGTGTAACATGTAAAATCTAAGAATAAGGCAAAGTGTAACTGTACTCAGAAGGTATGCTTGCAAAACATTTTATTTATTTATTTATTTATTTATTTATTTATTTTGAGTCAGGGACTCACTCTGTCACCCAGGCTGGAGTGGTGTGATCTCAGCTCACTGCAATCTCCGCCTGCCAGGCTCAAGTGATCCTCCTGTCTCAGCACCTCAAGTAGCTGGGACTATAGGCATAAGCCACCATGCCTGGGTAATTTTTGTATTTTATTTTATTTTTTTGTAGAGACAGGGTTTCACCATGTTGCCCAAGCTGGTCTTGAACTCCTGGGCTCAAGTGATCCACCCGTCTTGGCCTCCCAAAATGGTAGGATTACAGGTTTAAGCCACCAGGCCCGGCCTACAAAATTTAAATATAAATAACAAACTAATTCTTACCAAAAGCAGCACATTCATCTATCAAGAGTAACCTCTTCCTAGCAATGCCTTATGATGGCCTACTTTCATTTAAATTACTATTTTGAACTTAGAAATGCAAGGACTCTGTGCACACAGACTGGATGATCTGGATATACACCCATTTAGAAGCGGGGGGTCCATGTGGAAATGTGTTCTAACAGTAGGTCATCAAATTTTCTTTTTTAAAAAAGAAGCAGTCTTTCCTTTGCTCATCTTTTAAAATGATCAATGGTCACTTTCTTTGAACAGCTCTAAAGTGGGGGGAGAAGGCAGCAGATAACACTTTAAACTCTTGTCACACTTTCCAGATCAGTAAATTATATACTCATCACAAGCATCTAGATGGGATGCATCATGAATATATCTAAGAATATCTAGGCCAGGTGCAGTGGCTCAAGACTGTAATCCCAGTGCTTTGGGAGGCCAAGGCGGGTGGATCACCTGAGGTCAGGAGTTCCACACCAGCCTGGCCAACATGGAGAAACCCCGTCTCTACTAAAAATACAAAGAGTAGCCAGGCATAGTGGCACGCGCCTGTAGTCCCAGCTACTCAGGAGGCTGAGGCATGAGAATGGTTTGAACCTGGGAAGCGGAGGTTGCAGTGAGCCAAGATTGTGCCACTGCACTCCAGCCTGGGCAACAGAGTGAGACAGACTCTGTGTCCGGAAAAAAAAAAAAAAACCAAGAAAAACCCACAAAGAATATCTGAAAGTACCAAGTGAAAAGTGAAGAAGGAAGTAGGGTGAGAGGGAGAGTAGAGCATGTAAAGAAAAAAAAAGTCAGTGAAGATATTTTTAAAAACCAGAGTATACTGGTATTTGAATTTATTTCTTTTGTGTTTTTTTTCACATTATCTCACAGAAAGATAAAGAATCTTATCTAAAAGCTCAAAATGAAAATAAAAGAAATATTAGCTAACAGGACAGATTGATTTTAACAACATGTTTCCCGTAAGTCCTAACTAAATGGCACTGGAAAATCTTTCTGTTAAGAAAAGGAAAATAAATGGACCTTCAACAGGCTCTTTATAAGCAAAGGCATTTTCGTGCCCCAGAGAACAGTCTTGTAAAAGGGAGATTTATAAGGGACTTCCAGGAAGCAAGAGTTCAGTAATTTTCTAACACTGAAGCAAAGCAACGGGAACTAGGTTTACCATCTCCAAGACACAACCCCTATTTTGCTAGACTGGCGACAAATATCAAAGTGCTCAGCCGGGGCCACTGTCAAGCTAAAGAACATCAAAGCAGACAGATCTGCGTCTTCATATCCTAGGGATGCTGTTCTAAAGCAGCCCCTTGGTTTCCTATCTCCCTGTAAGAACTAGAACTGCTTTTGCTAACACCAAGTACTGCACAGTAAATTCCTCTTAAAAGCACAGTTTATCACCCCCACCCTCTTGTGGCTTAATCCTTTAATTCATTTCAATGCCAAAAACTAGGATTTCCTGAGGACTGCCACAGGATGTATGACAAGCAGCAGGGGCAAGCTTAAAGTTGCTGATTCAATATAATCAGAAGTTTAAAAGAATGGTTGCTAATGCACAGCCAGAAACAGAGGGCCCTCCACAAAAGGCAGAAAAGAGGCCAAGTGCCTGTGAAAAATCAAGGAACTGAGTTTTAACGGGTGCCAACCCACAGGCAGGACAGAAAGTCTTTTGTTTGTTTGTTTTTGAGACCAAGTCTCACTCTGTTGCCTGAGCTGGAGTGCAGTGGCACGATCTCAGCTCACTGCAACCTCCACCTCCCGGGTTCCAGTGATTTTCCTGCCTCAGCCGCCTGAGTAGCTGGGACTACAGGCGTGCACCACCACACCCGGCTAATTTTTGTATTTTTAGTAGAGACACGGTTTCACTACTATGTTGGCCAGGCTGGTCTCCAACTCTTGATCTCGAGTGATCCGCCCACCTTGGCCTCAGAAAGTCTTAATGGACCATTCTACTGTCCTCTGTTGGGGCTGGAACATATCACAGGCTACTCTGAGACAAAGAGATAAGGAACGTAAACACTGTAGTAATGTATCTACCCACAGATGAAGACAGCTAGCAAATAAAGGTAATCTCTGGTAAAGGCTTGGCTTGGATTTAAGTTAACAGTTTTAGAGGTAGAAGGCAATACAATAAGACAATCAGAGTTTTACAAAACGGTTAATACTAAACATTTTAACAACTTTATAGTGGGCAAGGCCATTTGTAGGTTATGTACTAAGTAATTTGAGGATTAATAGGTTATAAAAATACAAGCAGCCCCCCCCAAAAAAAGTAAAACAAAAATAATTAATTCCAACTAGCCTTAGGAACCATGACCACAGATCTCTGAATGCTTAGTTCTGTTTTCCTGCTGCACCTAACTGGTTTCTAACTTCTCCACCTATGCCACTGATTCAATCAGCCAGAATCATCAGCTGTTCAGAAGGGAGTGTCAGCATCCCAGGCATTTAGAGTTCCAGAAACAACCAAAAATGGCAACTTAGCTCTGCCAGCAAATGCCTGTCTTACAAGCCAAACATCTCCCTCATTTGTATCTTGACTTCCAGTTTCTTTTCCTTTTTCAATTACCATCAATCAGTAGAGCTGCTTTGGTACTGAGGTAAAAAAGTTAAAAGGAAAAAAAGAGGATTGTCAAAAAGACAATCCTCTTTTTTATTTTCTAGAGATAGGGTTTCCCTCTCTCATCCAAGCTGGAATGCAGTGGTGTGATCATAGCTGGGTTTGTGCAATCCTCCGCCTTGGCCTCCCAAGTAGCTAGGATTACAGACGTGTACCACCACACTTGGCTAATTTTTAGAATTTTTTGTAGAGACAGAGGCTCACACTATGTCACCCAGACTGGTCTCAAACTCCTGACCTCAAGTGATCCTCCAGCTTCAGCCTCCCAAAATGTTACGATTACATCCCAAAATGTCAGGATTACCATATCCAGCCTAAGGTTTTCTTTTCAATGCATATTCTAGGGCCTCATCCACCAAGACTCAGTAGGGTGGGTGGAACAAACTAGAATCTTCATTTTTAACAAGCAGCAGTGGTTCTGAAATGGGGCCTTACATGAGAAGCATCTGGGGTGCTTTTAAATAACACCATGCCATGGCAGGGAGGCCTCGCCTTGAGATACTCAATGGGTCTACAGAAGGTCTCTAACACTGGCACTATTTTTTTAAGCTTTCCTGTGTGTAAGCAAGGTATGAACCACTGTACTAAAAGTACCTCTGATGCAGGTGGTCCATGGACAAAGTCTGAGAACAGGGGCTTAAAGAGTTCATGTTAATGAGGTCATTCTGAACCTGACAAAGACTCTCTCCTTTGACCAAACTTGAGTCAGGCTCCTCTTGGAGTCCTTTCTGATAAAGTCCTGACGTTGCGCCTCCTTCTCCATTCTTGCAGAATCCAGTTTGAGCAATAATCCTGCTAAGTCAGATTAGAGAAAATCCCCTACATGACTACCCCTGGTATCTTATCACCCTGGCCTACCTTCAACAAGAATGCTGAAGGCAAGCATCCCCCTTACCCCTGATGTTTCCTCTTAGTATTTTTCTATCTACTCACTCCCACCCTGTTCCTTGGCTGTAAATCCTCATCTGTCCTTATTGGAGTCAGACTGCAGCCCACCCTCTCTCCCCCACTGGAAGACCCCATTGCAGTCATCCCTATGCTTATTACCATGGCCCCCTTGAAGGAAGTCTGTCTTATCATGTTTCACAAGTGACAGGAATAATTTTTTCTTTAACACCTCACTCTACTGCCAAAGTAGATAGCAGGGAGGTAGATACAAATAAAATATTTAGATAATTAGAAAAACTATAGGTGACAATTAAAAAAAAATCAATTCCTTTTTGGAAAGCTTTCAAATCCGGCAAGCTCTTAGTAGGGTATCGGGCACTTTTTTTTTTTTTGAGATGGGAGTTTCACTCTTGTCTCCCAGGCTGCAGTGCAATGGCGTGATCTCGGCTCCCTGCAATCTCCACCTCCCAGGTTCAAGCCATTCTCCTCCATCAGCCTCCCAAGTAGCTGGGATTGCAGGCATGCGCCACCATGCCTGGCTAAATTTTTTTGTATTTCAGTAGAGACAGGGTTTCGCCATGTTGGTCAGGCTGGTCTCAAACTCCTGACCTCAGGTGATCCACCCGCCTCAGCTTCCCAAAGTGCTGGGATTACAGGCGTGAGCCATCGTGCCCGGCCGGGTATCAGGTTCTTACTTTGAGCAGATTCCATCTATCAGGTCACTGGTTTATACATATTAAGTATCTGCTATAAAGTTGGGGAACAGCTAGGATCAAGTCTATTTGATGAAAAATAAAGCCCTCAGACATAATTCTGGGGGGAGAAAAGCAATTCCAATTATGTGAAGGTTTAGAAAGTTAGAATTATTCTTCAACAAACAATAGACACTGGGCATCCTAATTGCTAGCTTCAAACTAACTCTGAAACGAGGCACAAAAGGAGAGAATGTTCTTGTTGCAAGAAACTTTTAATAGCATTTGGATTTGGAAGAAAAAGATAGCAGTGGAATAAAAAATAGACACACCATGTTGCAAAAGCTCTTGAGTATTCAGAATCCATTTCTGAAGCAGAAAGGTGGGGAAAGGGCTACTGATCCATGGAGAGAAAACAGGGAGGCAAATGCCCAAAAGAGCTTTCATTTGTTGGGCTGATTACTCACAATTAAACTTTGGAAAATTAGCAGAAAATTAGAAACAGATTATAAAATAGTCTGTTTTAATAAAATGCTAACTATCATCATGCAACCTCAGAAGTAGAAGCAGATGGAGTTAGAAAAGCTACATTCTAGTTGGAGACAAGATATTGAGAAAACTTGTTCCATACATGAGCTCAAATTTCTCCACCTGTAAGGTGGTCATATTGCTTGCTGATTTCAGAAGGCTTAAGCCATTGGTTAAAAGGCCTTTTGTGCTCAATAATCAAGAAGCTGCTTTAAAAAATAATCAAGAAGCTGCTTTGATTGCTGATAATTTACTAGAGTGACAGTATCCACAGAAAAATTTCATTTATATAGAAAGTTATTATATAAGAAATCTAAAATATGAGTTTGCTTCAAAAACTTAGCTGGTTTAAGGAAGTTTAAGGTTTTAGGGGAGTGGGAGTGAGTGAAGGAGGAGGTTGTAGAAGAGAATGGAGGAGGAAATTGAGAAAAGACAAGCTGAACAAAGGAAGAATTTATCTGTGCCTCTGAGACTAGTTCTTCCCGGGAATCTTACCCCTACCACTGGACTGTTTTTTCAAAGGCAAAGATCACCTATTGTTCAACTCTGCATCTCCCACACAGCATATCTACCACTATGTAGAGAGTAGTTGCTTGTTGCTTGATAAGTGTTTAACAAATGGTAAAACACTTTTTTTTTTTGGAGATGGAGTTTCGCTCTTGTTGCCCAGGTTGGAGTGTAATGGCGCGATCTCAGCTCACCGCAACCTCCTGTGTTCAAGCAATTCTCCTGCCTCAGCCTCCCAAGTAGCTGAGATTACAGGCATGCGCCACCACGCCCAGCTAATTTTCGTATTTTTATTAGAGACAGGGCTTCTCCATGTTGGTCAGGCTAGTCTTGAATTCCCGACCTCAGGTGATCCGCCTGCCTTGGCCTCCCAAAGTGCTGGGATTACAGGCATGCGCCACCACACCCAGCTAATTTTCATATTTTTATTAGAGACAGGGTTTCTCCATGTTGGTCAGACTGGTCTTGAATTCCCGACCTCAGGTGATCCGCCTGCCTCGGCCTCCCAAAGTGCTGGGATTACAGGTGTGAGCCATCGCACCCGGCGGAAACAAGTATTTTTTTTTTTTTTTCCAAACAACAGCATTCTAGGCAGAAAGTCACAAAACAGGAGGAAGCGAGTCTGATTCCCAGCATCAGATAAACTGCTAAACTCTACTGTGGGTAAGAACAAAACTGTGCTTACCAGAAAACTTAATTTTTATTTCGATGAATTTCTAATAGTGAAATAAATTACTTTAAAGCACAACAAAGAAGAAAGTCAACACCCAAACGTTCTTGGGCTCAGGAAGTATGGTGCTTGACGGGAGGGTTAAAAGCTGTCAGCCCTGAAGACAGGCAGGAAAGTCTCTCTTTATGACCCCCTCCCAGCAAGGCTGTGTTTTTTCAACACTTCTAACCCTTCTGCATGGGAATCTTGGAATGTTTTTTTGTTTTGTTTTGTTTTAAAGAGACAAGGTCTCGCTATGTTGCCCAGGCTGGAGTGCAGTGGCTATTCACAGGCGTAATCCCACTACTGATCAGCAGGGGAAGTTTTAACCTGTTCGTTTCCAACCTGGGCCAATTCACCCCTCCTTAGGCAACCTGGTGGTCCCCTACTTCTGGGAGGTCATCATACTGATGGCTGAACTTGGTGCAGACACGTCTCTGGCACAGTGTGCTACAGCCCAGGACTCTTGGGCTCAAGCGATCCTCGTGCCTCAGCCTCCTGAGTAGCTGGGACTCCAGGCATGTGCCACTGCATTGTCCTGGAATGTCTTTTTTTTTTTTTTTTTTTTTTTTTTTAAGTGTCTCAGTTCTCTTAGTTTTTGACAGTTCCCCGGTATTCTCAAGGTGATCATTTAACACCTAATTAACAAGTCTATTACTGGAATTAATTCAAATGAGCCAAACCTAGTTTTAATTAAACCTCAATCTGCTCAGGGTAGTCTTTTTTCTCCTACATCAGTAGCTGCCTGCAAGGACCCAGTTCCTTTCAAAACAAAGAAGTACAAAACTCTATAAAGCGTTCTGACATTATTTAAAAATGTATCTATTAAAATGTACCTATCTAGTTAATTTGGTTCCATAATTTGGTCATTCTGGCTTAACATTCAACTATTCAAGCAATGTTACAATAAAGTACTTGAAGAACCCACTGATTTTCTGGTATTGCCAATCATGCGTGCATTCATTCAGTCATTCAATAAATTTACTGAAAGGATCCTAGATGTCACACACTAAGCTGGGTGCTATGCATGTTATTATTAACTACACCTTTGGACAGAAATAAAATACATCAAAGCACAGCTCTGGAAAATGGAAAAGCAAAATTTTAGTTGATTTGGTCAAACACTTTGCCTTGATTCGTATGTAGATACTACAGCTAAATTTCCATTAGTGGACACGGATTAGTGATGTGTAAAGTAAAAGTTAGAATTTCAAATGTCTAGTGGAATTTAACAGAATTTCCTAGGCCTCATTTTTTCTACTCCCTGGCCTGTGCTCAGTATTCCCACTCCAGGTACAGGCATCCTGGCAGCACAATTCCCATTCATTATTATCTCACCTGAGATCCTAGTGAAGTTGCCTTTCAAGATCTGTCAACCTAGTCATATGTCCTGTTCTTCCTTGGGAAAAGGATAGAAACTGGAGGGGAAATGCGGAAAAAGTTGGGAGGAAGGGGAAAGGAGCGCTCACAAAGTCGTGTGGAAACTGGATCTCACCTTCCCTTACATGCTGCAGCTTTTCTGAAGGCTCTGTACTCTCACCAAAGAGCAACATTTCTTCACACAAAAAGATGAAAACATTTAACAATAAGCAACCACATATACATGTTTAAGCCTTACTTTCAATACCAGGTACTTAATGTACTCTGGAATCCAACAATAACAAAGTTTTAATGATAAATGTAATATATTCACTGACATGGTTTGGATGTTTGTCCATCTCAGGATGGAATGTGATCCCCAATGACGGAGGTAGGGCCTGGTGGGAGGTGTGTGGATCATGGGGAGGATCCTCGTGAATGGCTTGCTGCCATCCTTGGGTAATGAGTGAGTTCTCGCTCTGAGTTCTCCCAAGATCTGGTTGTTTAAAAAAGCATGGTACTTCTCCTTGAGACTGCATCTCAAAAAAAAAAAAACCAGCCACAAATTCTTTGACATGCCTCCACTGGGGAGGTGGAATCTAGTTCCCCACCCCTTCAATCCGGGATGGCCTTAGTGACCTGCTTGTTAACAACAGGTCAGAAAAGGTCATGGGGTTTCCGCCAGGTTCTTTGGAATGCTTGCTCTCTGAAGCATCCTTTCTGGGTACACAGTCACGATGTCATGAGGAGCCTAAGCCACATTGAAAAGATACATGCATGAAGGTGCTCTGGTCAACAGCCTCAGCTGAGCCTGGCTCCAAGTCACTCCAGCCCAGGTGACATGTGAGTGGAAAAGCTTCCAGATGATCCCAACCACCAACCATCTCAGTCTTTCCAGACACTTGAGTCTTCCAGGCCAGCCCCAGACAACAGAGCAAAGACAAGTCATCCCTGCTGTGCCCTGACCGAATTCTTGACCTGTGGCATCTGTGAGCATAATCAGATGGCTGTTGTGTCACATCACTAAGCTTTGGGGGTGGCTAGAGGCAAAAACTAGAAAACTTGTGCTGATCCAAAGCCTATATATAATTACCATGTTTCATTTTCTCACTACTAGCACAGCCCAGATTTCATCATTTAGTACAGATAAGTCATTTATCTGGGGGTAATGTGTCACACAGATCCATGTTCTGGAACAGGGCAAATAAATTATCCAATGTTAACTTTGATAGCTCTTAGCCATTTCTTAGTCACCTAAACCTGTGTGCTGAATCAGTAAGGTAAGTGTGCCTATGTGAAGTACCTAGAGAAATGCTAGCTGTATGTATATATATGTGTGTATATATGTCTGTCTCTCAGATTCACACACAGTTTCCACTAACACCACATCAGAAGGAGAGGAGATATAGCTGTTATTAACAGGGAGCTATTCACAGGCTCCACTATGTGTTTGCAACATTAATAAAACAACTTCTTCAAGGAATTAATTCACAAAACTGAAAATGATCACATTTCACTATTTCCAAAAATCTCTCATTAGAGATAACAAGGATCTAGCACAGATCAGAAAAAATGTTAAGGTAAAATTCTGATTTAAGAAAACAGTCGACTGGGCGCGGTGGCTTACGCCTGTAATCCCAGCATTTTGGGAAGTCAAGGCAGGCAGGTCACCTGAGGTCGGGAGTTCGAGACCAGCCTGACCAACACGGAGAAACCCGGTCTCTACTAAACATACAAAATTAGCCGGGTGTGGTGGCGCATGCCTGTAATCCCAGCTACTCGGGAAGGCTGAGGCAGGAGAATCGCTTGAACCTGGGAGGCAGAGATTGTGGTGAGCCAAGATCATGCCATTGCACTCCAGCCTGAGCAACAAGAGCAAAACTCCATCTCAAAAGAAAGAAAAGGAAAGGAAAAGAAAAGAAAAGAAAACAGTCAGCTGGGTGTGGTGGCTCACAGCTGTAATTCCAGCACGTTGGAAGGCCAAGGCAGGCAGACTGCTTGAGCCCAGGGGTTCAAGACCAACCTGGGCAACATGGTGAAACCCCATCTCTACAAAAAATACAAAAAAAATGGCCAGGTGTGGTGGCAGACTCCTGTGGTCCCAGCTACTTGGGAGGCTGAAACAGGAGAATCATGTGAACCTGGGAAGCGGAGGTTGCTGTGAGCTGAGATCGCACCACTACACTCCAGCCCGGGAGACAGAGCAAGACTCTGTCTCAAAAACAAAAACCAGAAAAAAAAAAAAAGAAAGAAAGAAAACAGTCTTAAACCAACCAAAATCAGATGTGCCACTTTATTCGATGCAAGCCAAATCAATCTTACAATAAAGTATTACATAACTGTAGAGTGGAGAGCTCATGGCTGATAATGTGAAATCTTTTACAAATGCCAAACTGACTTTACAAGCATTAAAAAAGCAACAACTGGGCCGGGCACGGTGGCTCACGCCTGTAATCCCAGCACTTTGGGAGCCCGAGGAGGGCGGATCACGAGGTCAGGAGATCGAGACCATCCTGGCTAATGCGGTGAAATCCCGTCTCTATTAAAAATACAAAAAAATTAGCCGGGCGTGGTGGCGGGCGCCTGTAGTCCCAGCTACTCGGGAGGCTGAGGCAGAATGGTGTGAACCCGGGAGGCAGAGCTTGCAGTGAGCCAAGATCACACCACTGCACTCCAGCCTGGGTGACAGAGTGAGACTCCGTCTCAAAAAAAAAAAAAAAAAAAAAAAGCGACAAGTGAAATTATTGTCTCATACATGCAATGAAAATATTTTTTAAAGTAAAGACAGACACCCAGTTGCTCCCCTTTTAGTACCACTGTTCTGCAGTCAATACTGCCCTCTGGTGTTGCAGAATAAAAGTCAAATGTCAGAAAGTGAACACTGAACTTCACTGTTCACAGTAGTATGTTTAAATCAAGGCATCTAGTTGGGACTACAAATCCCATCAAAGACAAAATAAACTGATTCAGGATGTCATTTATTATCTACCGTATATGAAAGTAGAAACTCTTTAAAAAGGCATTAAATCAGGAATACTAATTTATGAAAACAGCAGCTCTTAACTATGCTGTTAATGAAACATCACTAACAGTGAATTATACCTTCACATAAAATTATGTAATTCAAGAAAAACCTCGAAGGTATATTACCTCTGAGTTAAGAGGGTATGTAGGATAGTAAGAGTAAAGCCTCCCATCTATAAACAAGAAAATTCCATAGAAAGTGAGCCAGGGTCGTTCTCATGGCATATGTATCAAACACACTAAAAAAGTGTCCATGGAAACCACACACCAGCCAGCTCTGCCTATTAGTAAACCTGACTATTTATTTTAGGAAAAAAGCTCAAGAAAAACAGCACGTTTGGCTGCTAGGTGGACTTATGCAATGTTTCAAGAAAAGAAAGACTTACCAAGGCTGGTGCCATCCTGCCCCATGATGCACTTCATGGAGGTGATGATCTGCTCCACTACAGGAGGTGACAATGACGTGGCATACACTGCACTATGAGAATGTGTTCGCAGGTAGTCTATCAGCTCCTGGGGAGTTCACAGAGGCAGATAAGTAGAGACAATTCTTGCATTCACCGGCAATGTCAGTCCTTTCCTTCTAAGTTCTAGAGGACTCCTCACTTCAATGGCACTGGAATAGGGACACTAATCTGAGATACAAGGTCAACCAACATGGTCGAAGCATACCGCTGGCAACAACTGGGTCAGAAACATGGCAAAGTTCTTAGGTTTGGTTTTGTTTTTTAAACATGGAACAACATAAGAGAAAAACTAGTTTTAAAACAACCCCTCTAAATTTGGAGAATGTATCATTTAAAGTTAGAAATATGGCCGTGCATGGTGGCTCATGCCTGTAATCCCAGCAGTTTGGGAGGCCAAGGTGGGTGGATCTACTGAGGTCAGGAGTTCAAGACTGGCCTGACCAACATGGTGAAACCCCATCTCTACTAAAAATACAAAAATCAGCTGTGCGTGGAGGCGGGCACCTATAATCCCAGCTACTTGGGAGGCTGAGGCAGGAGAATCGCTTGAACCTAGGAGACGGAGGTTGCAGTGAGCTGAGATTGCGCCATTGCACTCCAGCCTGGGGGACAGAGTGAGACTCCGTCTTAAAAAAAAAAAAAAAAAAAAAGTTAAAAATAAATGAACACAGCTGAATTAAACAAGGTGTTTGGATTGCTTTTTAGATATAATGATTTAATTCCAAGTATCACAGAAAATGTCATCTGCAGCTCTGTGTGCCTATAAAGCCCATCCTTCTACCCCTAAATAACAGTTCTCTAACATCAACTTTAAGAGCATTAGAACTTCCTCCAGATATGCAGAAATGTATAAAATGATATAAATGTGAAATAGAAACTTACAAGGTATTTTATTAAAATGCCAATGACATCTCACTGAATAAAGTAAAACTCTGTCATTTACAAGGATTTCAAAAAAACTTAATTGTATATCCCTATTCTCTGATATCTTTTAATTTCACCAAATCTTTAAAATGCACACACAAGAAGCTTATGTACCAGAACAAATTAGGGGGACACAAATGTGGCTATGAAACAGTTTTATCTCAAAAATATTAAAAATTGTACTAAAAAAACCAAAAGCACAAATATATTGTACTTTAATGATCTCCCAGAGTATTATTTTTCTATCCTTTGGTTCACAGCCACAAAGCTTACTAAAAAACAACTCTCCAAAGTGAGCCTGGTCCCATTAACAAAAAGGTAATATTTGAGATAAAAATCTATCAAACCTGGCCAGGTGCAGTGGCTCACACCTGTAATCCTAGTACTTTGGGAGGCCGAGGCGGGCAGATCACGAGGTCAAGAGATCGAGACCATCCTGGCCAACACGGTGAAACCCTGTCTCTACTAAAAATACAAAAAATTAGCTGGGCATGGTGGCACGTGCCTGTAGTCCCAGCTACTTGGGAGGCTGAGGCAGGAGAATCGCTTGATCCCAGGAGGCGGAGGTTGCAGTGAGCCAAGATTGTGCCACTGAACTCCAGCCTGGCAATGGAGTAAGGCTTGGTCTCAAAAAAAAAAAAAAAAAAAAATCTATCAAAGCTGATTAAAAGTCACTGAAAATGAGTTCTCTCTAACAGGCAATCAAGTATTAAAAGAATGACCTTTTTTTCTGTGATAGGGTCTTGCTCTGTTGCCCAGGCTGCAATGCAGTGGTGTAATCACGGCTCACTGCATCCTTGATCTCCCAGGCTCAAGCAATCCTCTCATCTCAGCCTCCCCCATAGTTGGGACTACAGGCATGTGCCACCACCACACCCAGCTAATTTTTTTACTTTTTTGTAGAGATGAAGTCTCACTATGTTGCCCAGCTGGTATTGAACTCCTGGGCTCAAGTAATCCTCCCACTTCAGCCTCTCAAAGTGCTGGGATTACAGGTGTGAGCTACTGTGCCCAGCATAACCATTCTTTAATACTCCGAATATTGAGTGGTGAAGCAAAATTAAGAACATTTATGAGCACCTCCTCTGTGCCATATACAAATACCTGACATACATTATTTTTTCCCTAACATTGCAATCAACGTTTAAAAATAACAGCTTCATTGTGATATAAGCCACATACACAGAATTCACCGTTTTAAAGCACAATTCAGTGGTTTTTAGTATATCCAGAGTTGTGCCACTTTTACCACTAATTTTAGAACATTTCCATAACCCTGAAAGGAAACCTCATACCCATTAGCATTCACTTTCCATTTCCCTATCCCCTCCGCCTCCGGCAACTACTAATCTACTTTCTGTTTCTATGCTTATTCTAGGTATCACATATTTTAAAACATGCAATATGTGACTTTTTGTGACTTTTTTCACTTACCATAATGTTTTTAAGGTGCACCCACGTTGTAGCATGGACATATATTACTTTTTAAACCCTTACTACAATCTTACAAGCTGGGCATATTTATCTCCATTTTACTGACAAGGAAACTGGGAGGTTAAATGTTTTCCCTGAGGTCTAACAAAGTAAGCCGAGAAATATTCAGACCCAGGCCTCTGTCTTTATGGTTCACCATTTCGACCACACCACAGATTCTTACCTGCATCAAAATTCACCGTATGATTTTTTTCTGACTACAAAGACCCAGAAAAGGCAACTTCATAGTTTAAAAATTGAAAAATACAATGCTTTGTAGTACCCCACAGCTGGCACAACTTTTTTGCTTCCTGTCTCCATGTTCACTCATGATATATTTGTGTCCAAGGGCAAGGTGACCTGCTATTCCCATGGGCTCCCATGACAACCCCACTGTTTTTGAAACTGTGAGCACAATGCAAACCCAACAGAAGGCTGGGGCGGGCAGGGAGCACCACTGTGTGTTCTTTCACACAAGAGGGTATTCTATATCTCAGATCAGCATGTAGCTTAGAAAGAAGCTCAAATAAGAAAACAACAAACAATGAACAGAACCAGCCTTTAGTTCAGTGAGGAGACATTAGAGTCACTCACTGGTATTATGAGCCTAAACCAGAGGCAAATTTGCGGACATCCCAGTTCAGGGCCCCATCTGCTAGGCCTGAGGTACCAAATCTAATTGCCAGTGACTTTATCTCTAATCGCTCATTCTCATGGCTCGTTTACCTTCTTGCCTCCAATATATCCTCCAGAAGCACCAAAACTCTTTGTGAACGTTCCCATCATAACATCCACATCCTCGGGATCCAGGCCAAAGTACTCCACCACACCCCGGCCTGTGGGGCCCAGGGCGCCAATGCTGTGAGCCTCATCCAGATACAAGTATGCCTTGTATTTCTTCTTGAGGGCAATCACTTCAGGAAGACGAACAATAGATCCCTCCATGCTGGCAAAACATGAAAAAATATATATATACACATATACACTGAGACTTTTTAAATCAAAATTGGGAGTTTGGCACTTCATTATTATTGAGTTTACTGCTTCTTTTTTTTTTCTTGGGACAGAGTTTTGCTCCATTGTCCAGGCTGAAGTGCAGTGGCATAATCTCGGCTTACTACAATCCCTGACTCCTGGGTTCAAGCGATTCTTGTGCCTCAGCCTCCCAAGTAGCTGGGACTAGAGGTGCCCGCCACCACCACGCCCAGATAATGTTTGTATTTTTAGTAGAGATAGGGTTTCCTCATGTTTCCCAGGCTAGTCTCGAACTCCTGGCCTCAAGTGATACACCCGCCTTGGCCTCCCACAGTTCTGGGGTTACAGGAATAAGCCACCCTGCCCGGCTGAGTTTATTGGGTTTTAAATGGTCTGACAACTGTATCTGTGGCTTAAACTGACAAAGGTAGATGAAGCCATGGCAAGGCAAAAGACTAGGGGAAAGAAAACTGGACTTTTAAAACAAGCACTGGCTGGGCGCGGTGGCTCACACCTGTAATCCCAGCACTTTGGTGGGCTGAGGTAGGCGGATCACTTGAGGTCAGGAGTTCGAGACCAGCCCGGCCAACACAGTGAAACCCCGTCTCTACTAAAAATACAAAAATTAGCTGGGCTTGGTGGCACACACCTGTAATCCCAGCTACTCGGGAGGCTAAGGCAGGAGAACCGGGAAGCGGAGGTTGCAGTGAGCCGACATCCCGCCACTGCACTCCAGCCTGGGTGACACAGCGAGATTCCATCTTAAAAAAAAAGCCACCCAAACCACCAAAAAACAAAAAACAAGCACCAAACACAAGCAATCTTAATTCACGACAAAAATAATTAAGGTCACAGCAGATTCTTCTAAAGCTTGTAATTACAGGCAACATGAGACTTTGCATCACGTTGCACAGGCAATTAAAATGACACAAAAGAACAAAAAAAATTAGGTGGTAAAAATACGTGTAAAAGCTGTAAAGGTTAACCAAAATAAAATATTTCTTTTTAATTTTTATTTATTTTTTACAGAGACAGGGTCTCACTATGTTGCCCAAGCTGGTCTCAAATTCCTGGCCTCGAGCGACCTCCCACTTTTGCCTCCCAAAGTGTTGGGATTACAGGCGTGAGCCACTGCACTCAGCCTAAAATAAAATATTTATTAAAATTAAATGGTGTGTAATTTGTTTTGACATATTAAAATATATATTCCAATTCTTGCCCCTACATATAGGTTCCCTCTACAAACTAGAAAAATAAAAGACTCAAATAGAAAGGGGATTTGGTGACCATGTAGTATTATGGAAAGAATAACGAAGAACTAGACAAAAAGACTTCTGTTCTAATGCTGACTCTGTTTCCAGGTATTTTAGCGACTTATAAACACTGTCTCCTTAGTTTCCAGAGGGGGATAGACTAATGTTCCCTTCAGTTAAAAAATTCTATGACTTCATGGGGCCAAGTCACAAAGGTAAGAATAATAAAGCAGGATTACCTATATATTCCTTCCACAAGGATGAGAATTTTCTTCCAGGGCCTTCGTGTCCGAGGCTGACCATAAACAATGGCATCTTTCAATAGCTTCTCTAGGCTTTGCATATCTACAGAGCACAAAAAAGAACAGTTATACCGCATCTTCCTCTTTCCTAACTTTATTCCGGAAATGCAGAGATATATTTCTCATTCAGAAACCATGCCTCAGATAGCAAAGGACATAATTAGAGTTGGGCAGAAAAAAGCAGGGCAAAATAGGTGAATTATTGCCACCTTGAATTGAAATCCAAAATGTAACAAATGTTCAAAACCATCGAAACTTGACTAAAGGACGGTGGTGGCTAACTCAGTTCATTAGCTTCCTTATAAAATGACCAGTGTCTCATGTTAAATACCCTGCCATTAAGTTAGCTTCTGTGTGTTTATCGAAAAATACAGAATCAAACTGTATCTCTAATCCCAGTGAGTCATTCGGAAATAAATGCGTAAAAAAGACAGAGCGAGAGAGTGTGAATAAACCATCACAGACACATACTCCTCCTAAAAAAACAAACGCAAGGCGTAAAAAAACTTCACAGTGCGTGCTCCATTTCCTTTCACCCAGGACGTACTCAATAAACGCTTGTTAAAGAGTTTTATTTTGGTACTGGGTTAAAAATACACCCGTCTGGGGCATGTATAAGTCTGTGTGTTAAGCAAGCCTGACAATCAGTTGAAATTGTTCCATGTTTGACTTCATCAGTTGTCCATAAACAACCAAGTTCTTGTGGCTCTGTTGGTTCTTATGGTGGTTAATGGGCCTGGAAACAACTTGGCTGCTACTGCCATTAATGATGATCATAATTTCCTTGTTAAAGACAAATGCTTTGAAGACCATTGTTGCCACACTACAGATTTCATACTTAAAATACCTGCCCTGAAATGAAGTCCTTAAAAAAAACTCCCCCAAATTTAAGCAACATTAAGTCTGGGGAATACTTAATAGGGGTGGGAGACATCCTATCATAAAATCTTTTTTTTTTTTTTGAGATGGAGTCTCCCTCTGTCATCCAAGCTGGAGTGCAATGGTGTGATCTCTCCTCACTGAGGCCTCCACCTCCAAGGTTCAAGCAATTCTCCTGCCTCAGCCTCCCAAGTAGCTCGGATTACCAGCACCCGCCATCACGCCAGGCTAATTTTGTACTTTTGTAGAGACGGGGTTTCACCATGTTGGCCAGGCTTGTCTTGAACTTCTGACCTCAGGTGATCCGCCTGCCTCGGCCTCCCAAAGTGCTGGGATTACAGGCGTGAGCACCACGCCTGGCCCTATCATAAAATCTGATTTTGTATTCTGTATTGCTTGTAACTGGAGGAAGGAGTTATAAAAGTACATGATTTTGCTCTTTGCAGAAAACAATTTTGACAGAAAAAGAGATAAGGTAATAAAAACACAGAACACAAACACAAATAAGATAGTCTAAGGTTGTGACTGTGCTTACACATTCAGTAATTTCTAAGAAAAAAATCTGCATACGACCTAATCAAGATTCAGGAGATGTTCCCTACAGAAGTAAATTACGTCCTGACTCAAAGCCTCCAGTTTTTTTGTTTTTTTTTTTTTGAGACAGAGTCTTGCTCTGTCGCCAAGGCAGGAGTGCAGTGGCGTGATCTCTGCTCACTGAAACCTCCGCCTCCTGGATTCAAGTGATTCTCCAGCCTCAGCCTCCTGAGTAGCTGGGATTACAGGTGCATGCCACCACATCCAGCTAATTTTTGTATTTTTAGTAGAGGTGGGGTTTCACCATTTTGGCCAGGCTGGTCTTGAACTCCTGACCTCAGGTGATCTGCCCTCCTTGGCCTCCCCAAGTCCTGCAAAGCCTCCAGTTCTTAGGCAGAGAGCAATGTATGGCGATCAGCTGAAGACAAGTAAAAACACAGGAATTATTTTAGTTTTCTCTGTTTATATATAGAAGGAGGAGAAAAATAATACTGGTCAAAATTTTAGATAAAAGAAGCATCAGCCAGGTGTGGTGGCTCACGCCTGTAATCTTAGCACTTTGGGAGACCGAGGCGGGTGAATCGCTTAAGGTCAGGAGTTCGAGACCAGACTGACCAACATGGCAAAACCCTGTCTCTACTAAAAATACAAAAAAAATTAGCCGGTTGTGGTGGTGGGCACCTGTAATTCCAGCTACTTGGGAGGCTGAGACATGAGAATCGCTTAAACCCAGGAGACGGAGGTTGCAGTGAGCCAAGATCACGCCACTGCCCTCCAGCCTGGGTGACAGAGCAAGACTGTTTCAAAAAAAAGAAATACCTATAGCAGAATGCTTAACCATATTATCTACTTAGAAAAAAAAATTCAATCTCTCCAATGTTATGCCCCCAAATTCCACATAAATTTAAATAAAAAATATATCGCAAAACTCCCAGAAGAAAACATGAAAGAATAACATTATGATCTGAGAATGAGGAGGGTATTGTGTAAAATCCGAAAGTCGTAAAACAGTAAGTGTGGCAACAAAAACATTTTCATGAGTCTGTACAGGAAGACACTGAAAACAAAGTCAAAAATATAAAAATAGTGCAGTCTGGGCATGGTGAATCACTCCTGTAATCCCAGCATTTTGGGAGGCTGAGACAGCAGGATCGTTTCAGCCTAAGAGTTCAAGACCAACCTGGGCAACACAGCGAGACTTTGTCTCTATAAAAAATAAAAAACACTAGTCCGGCATGGTGGTGGATGCCTACAGTCCTAGCTACTCAGGAGACTGAGGCAGGAGAATCATTTGAACCTAGGAGGTCAAGGCTGTGGTGAGTTGTGGTTCTGCTACTTCACTCCAGCCTGGGTGATGCAGCAAGACCCTGTCTCAAAAAAATAATAATAAAATAATGCAACATAAAGGAAAAGATAATTAATATAAAGGGCTCTTATAATCAGTAAAAAATAGAAACAATTTGAAAATGGCCAATTTATAAAGAAATACAAACACATTAGCTTACAAGTAGAGTTAAAAAAACAGTAAAAATGCAAAAAGTTGTTCTATATCTAATAAGCAATGAAATAAAAACTAACATATTATTTCCTCATTAGATTTGGAAAGATTTAAAATGATTCACCATAGCCTATGTTGGCCAGTGAGTAGGAACAGTCAATCTCATGTTGTTGAGGAAAAATTCATACAAGATGCAAGCATGTGTATGTTCATTGTAGCACTATTCACAACAGCAAAGACATAGGATCAATCTAAATGTCCATCAACAGTAGACTGGATTAAAAAAATGTGGGCCAGGCGTGGTGGCTTATGCCTATAATCCCAGTACTGGGAGGCCAAGGTGGGTGGATTGCTTGAGCCCAGGAGTTCAAGACCAGCCTGGGCAACATGGTGAAACCCCATCTTTACAAAAAATACAAAAAGAAAACACAAAAAACAAAAAACAAAAAACTTGGCCGGGCGTGGTGGAACACATCTGTAGTCCCAGCTACTAGGGTGGCTGAGATGGGAGGATCGGTTGAGCTGGGGAGGTAGAGGTTGCAGTGAGCTGAGTTCATGCCAATGCATGCCAGCCTGGGAGACAGAGCAAGACTCTGTCTCAAAAATAAAAATAAAAATATATATATATATATGTACATATACACCATGGAATACTATGTAGCCATAAGAAAGAATGAGATCATGTCCTTTGCAGCAACATGGATGCAGCTAGAAGCCATTACCCTAAGCAAACTAATACAGGAACAGAAAACCAAATACCACATATTCTCACTTGTAAGTGGGAGCTAAACACTGAGTACATACAGACACGACTAAGGGAACAACAGACACTGGGGTCTACTTGAGAGTGAGGCAGGGGAGGTTGAGGAGGGTAAGGTTCGAAAAACTACCTACCTATCAGGTACTATGCTGATTACCTGGGTGGCGAAATAATCTGTACACAAACCCCCGAGACATGCAATTTACCTATATAACAAACCTGTACATGTACCCCTGAACCTAAAATAAAAGTGAAAAAAAAAAAGTTCATATAATGCTTAGAGGCAATTTGGAAAAGTATTAAAAATGTATACTCTTTTAACCATGCATTCTGAGACTGCTAGAAATTTATCCTAAGGCACTAACCAGATGATGGTACAAAACTGTAACTGTAGTGCTGTTCCCAGTAGAAAAATTTAGAAACAGCCCCGATGTCCAATTGAGGGGGCAATTAAATGAGGGCACACCCAGGCACTAACTGCCACACTGGTATTTAAGAATGAGATAGAGTTACATGTAATGACAAACAACAATCACCGTGTATTGTAAAAAGAGGCCAGGCATGATGGCTCACACCTGTAATCCCAGCACTTTGGGAGGCCAAGGCGGGAGGATCAACTGAAGTCGGGAGTTCAAGACCAGTCTGGCCAACACAGTGAAACTC
Organism: Homo sapiens; assembly: GCF_000001405.40. Classification (NCBI taxonomy): domain Eukaryota; kingdom Metazoa; phylum Chordata; class Mammalia; order Primates; family Hominidae; genus Homo; species Homo sapiens. The sequence goes on from NC_000014.9 coordinate 77,561,438, forward strand.
CGTCCCTACTAAAAATACTAAAAATTAGTCAGGTGTGGTGGCGCGCTCCTGTAATCCCAGCTACTCGGGAGGCTGAGGCAGGAGAATCGCTTGAACTCGGGAGGCAGAGGTTGCAGTGAGCCAAGATTGAGCCACTGCACTCCAGCCTGGGTGACAGAGCGAGACTCTAGCCTCAAAAAAAAAAAAAAGAAAATAACAGGTTACATAGTGATATTTAATAAGATCTCATTTCTCACTGTAAAACATTTTAGACAAGACAAAAACAAAAACAAAAACAAAAATGATGTTATCATCTATGATCCTTCCATCCACGGGTACACACCTAACATTTTGGTATACATTCTTCCAAACTTTTGTCTGTGCCTGTACACATTTTGGGAAAAGATGCTATTAACATACAGTTTGGTCACCTTTTCTGCCTATGTGTGTGTTTTAACTATGAAAGTTACGCATTTTTATTCTAAATAATCATTTTAATAATACACAAAGATATTTCCACTGAGGGAGGAAAGGTCTGGCTCAGGGCCACCCTCCTCTGTGCTCCCACAGCATCTATTCATAGCTGTACTTCAGCACCTGTCCACTATATTGTAAGGACTGGCTTATCTATTAAGTCTCTTCGTTAACCAGTCAGAGATCTTGATTTATTCACTTAAATACTGTTAGTCTTATGGCAAGATACACTATAGTCATCGAGTAAATGTATTTGAGTAACGGATCTGTAAACAAGGAAATGGGATGGAAAACTTCATGGTCAAATAAAAGGATAGTATTATATTTGTACAAGAGGCTTCCATCAACCTCTAATTTTAAAAGACTGGACCGGAAGAACATTTTAAATGTTGCTACTTTGTCTTCATTTATACTTTCAAGTGCTAATATAACTAATGTTAACTCCCACCATGGATCGAAAGAATAGCAAAACCAAGGCCAGCAGTGAATTCTTCAGCAAACTCACTGTTGTGTTTGAAGATTCTAATGGTTGCTCCTGACAGTCTGGCTCCCAGAACCAGTGATGCATGATTCAGTTCATCACTCAGAATCAGGCAACCCTGCAACATCACAGGAACAGAAAGGTAAGAAGCTGGAGGGGAAAGGGTTAGTTACACAAATCACAAAATGCCACAAACACTAATAGCTGTATCTTATTAAGGAAATTGTGCACAACAGCACAGTGATCAATTTTAAGAAGAGGAAAAAGGTGTACACGATCATTTGTTTTTTGTAAAGACACCTTAAAAGTAGATGCAAAATTCTAGCCTTTTAATTTAATATCTTCAGTCCCATGACTGATGTAAATACTCAGATATATGGCAACAGGTCTTTATTTGTATCTAAAACATGACACATCCGTCTCTAAAACGTTTTGGTTTCTTTACGTGAGAGAATTCCATGTAGTTTTAGTATCATGTTCTGTTTATCTGTGGGAAATGGCAGCTGATGGGGTCATGTCTGTGGAAATGGTGCATTCTCTCACTACTACTCATATCCAGAGTCCAGGGAAGATCCTACTTATTAACTTTTTCCCCACATAGCATGGACTGTAGGCTTCAGTTTTGTCTTAAAAATCCCCAAACAAGCTTTGCTTTAACACACAAACATCAGTTTCTGCTAAGGCAACTAAGAAAAGGTTGAAGATCTCGGTTTGGTTTTTTTTTTCACTGCAGTTCTTACTCTTCCATCTCTCAGGGGGCCCTTCAACCTGTCAGATCTCAACTCAGAAAAAGGTTTTTCTCTGTCAAAAATAGCCTCATAATATCCAATTAGATGAAAAGGGTGCAGAAAGTATATAGCATGCTCCCACGAGAATAAAAAGAAGAGAGAAGATACAAAGACACACAGTCATCCCTCAGTCTACAGGAGGACTTGGTTCCAGAACTGCCTCACCCTCACATTTATCCAAATCCATCCATGCTCATGTCCTGCAGTTGGCCCTGTGGGACCTGCAGGCCCTCCATATACTTGGGTTTTGTGTTCCATGAATACTATATTGTGTGTATGTGTGTGTGTGAGATGGAGTCTTGCTCTTGTTGCTGGAGTGCAGTGGTGCGATCTTGGTTCACTTGCAACCTCTGCCTCCCAGATTCAAGCGATTCTCCTGCCTCAGCGTCCCAGCTAGCTGGGATTACAGGAGCCCACCACCAGGCCCAGCTAATATTTGTATTTTTAGTAGAGATGGGGTTTCACCATGTTGGCCAGGCTGGTCTTGAACCCCTGACCTCAGGTGATCCACCCGCCTCAGCGTCCCGAAGTGCCAAGATTACAGGTGTGAGACACTGTGCCTGGCTGAAAACTGTATTTCTGCTCCATATTTGGTTGAAAAAAATCCACGTGTAAGTGGACCTGCATGGTTCAAACCATGTTGTTCAAGGGTCAACTATATATATACATGCTTATTTATTACAGAATATTCTTAAAGGAATACTTAAGAAACTTGTAACAGTAGTTGTGTTTGAAATTTTTATTATGCACATAGTATTTATTAAGATAAAAAAGCTACCTGGTTAAAAATGTACAGATTAAAAATGAAGTGGCCAGGCATGGTGGCTCATGCCTGTAATCCTGGCAATTTGGGAGGCCAAGGTGGGTGGATCACTTGAGGTCAGGAGTTCGAGACCAGCCTGGCCAACATGGCAAAACCCCATCTCTACTAAAAAGAAAACACAAAAAAATTAGCTGGGCGTGGTGGCAGGCGCCTCAAATCTCTGCTACACAAAAGGCTGAGGCAGTGAGGCAGTGAGCCGAAATTGTGCTGCTGCACTCCAGCCTGGGCAACAGAGGGAGACTCTGTCTGGGGGGAAAAAAAAAAAAAAAAGGAGGAGGAGGAGGAAGAGGAGGAAGAGGAGGAAAAGGAGGAAGAGGAGGAGAAGGAGGAGAAGGAGAAGAAGGAGAATAAGGAAAAGGAGAAGACTAGAGCCGGCAGTATCAATAGACTCCTGGCTTTCAAATCTTTATGCATGCATACACACACACACACACACACACACACACACACACACACACACACACACACAGATGTGTGTGTATGCATGAGTTCGCATATATACATACATTTTCTAGCTCTAGTCACTGAGAGGTGAGAAGCAGTGATACTCCTTCAGCAATAAACACACCTAGTTCCCAGACCTTGGTTTCTAAATATCATTCTCCAAAAAAAAGAACCAGCACTTCTTGGAGAACTGGTTAATTCCAAAACTGGGATAGGGAAAATATAAGATGATCCTGGAGCATTTTATCATGCCAGAAAGTATAAGAATGCTTTAAAAAAAAAAAGTTATTATATATTCAAAGGACACAGGTACCCACCTGAAGCAGCTCCCAATGGCCAAAACTAAAACTCGAGCAACAAAAAAGAAGCAATTGTGTTGAATTATAAGCCAAATAATAAAAATATTCACAAACCCACAACGACAGAAATAAATAAGGGAGAAGCAAGAACTCTTCCTTACACAAAAATTCTAATTAGTAAGTATAGAAAGAATGAGAAAAATAGAAAAATCACCATTAGAACACCAAGGTAAGCCGGGTGCGGTGGCTCACGCCTGTAATCCCAGCACTTTGGGAGGCTGAGGTGGCTGGATCACCTGAGGTCAGGAGTTTGAGACCAGCCTGGCCAACGTGGTGAAACCCCATCTCTACTAAGAAATACAAAAAATTAGCCGGGCATGGTGGTGGGTGCCTGTAATCCCAGCTACTCAGGAGGCTGAGGCAGGAGAATTGCTTGAACCCAGGAAGCAGAGGTTGCAATGAGCTGAGATGGCGCCACTGCACTCCAGCCAGGGCAACAAGAGCAAAACTCCATCTCAAAAAAAAAAAAAAAAAAAAAAAAAAGAACACCAAGGTAATAACTGCCACAGGCAAGATCACAGATGCATACTAAAGTTAGTGGGTGAAAGTTTAATCCAAAATGCTATATACAGTCCCAAAGTATCTCTGCCACAATATATGGTGATTACAAAGAGAAAAGCAGTAAGTTGGTAGTAGAAAATCCCCGCTGACACCTGAGACAAGCGATTAAGATTTACATCATCAGTAATATGTATCAAAACCACATAGTCTCTCGCATGATTCACTGAGAATGGTATCACTTCTGTGGTAGCTTTCTCAATAACGCACGGACTCAATCAAACCATAACAACACAACAGACAGACCCAAATTGGAGACATTCTACAAAATAAGGGACCAGTACCCTTCAGAAGTATTAAGGTCATGAAAGACAAAGAAAAACAGGAACTATCCCAGATTGGAGGAGACTGAGGAGCTACAACAGCTAAAGACAATGTGGATCCTCACCTGGATCCTGAAGCGGAAAAACTGGTGAAAACCAAATACGTCCTGTACTTTAGTTATAGTATTGTGTCACAGTTAATTTCTTAGCTGTAAGAAACAGTTCCACTGTTATGCAAGATGTTAACATAAAGGGAAGCTGAATGAATGGTATACAGGAACTCTCTGTACTCTTTTGTAACTCTTTTTGTAAGTCTAAATTAAAGTTTCAAAAAAGTGTTAAAATTGAAAAAGCGAAACTGGGGGAGAAAATAAAGAGAAGTCAGATTTCTCTTCAGCAAGTCAAATTCTTTACTTACCACTCTTGGCATTCAACTCTATCTTAAAAAGAACCCTCCCTTCCCTTCCCCTCCGCACAAAATTTTATTTTCTTCTCTTTCCAGCTAAATATTTTTCTGGCAAACCTGCAAAAGCATTATGTTCTTTTTTTCTGGCAAAAAGGAACTCTTTTTAGACAGCCTTTTTTAGACAGCCTTATTCAGCATTTCAATGTATCAATCTGTCTTTTTCCCTTAGAACTTATTCTTAAGCTTTATTAAATCTTTGGTTCAAAAATAAAAGGTATTCATACTAGCAGTTAACATCTAAGCGCTTAATGTTTCAGGTATCATGTTAAAAGATTTAAAAGCATTATTACTATTAATCCTCACAATAATTCTATGTAGCAGACACTATTATCACTCCCACTTTACATATGAGGACACTCTTGTTCAGGAGTTTAGAATCTTGCTCAAGGTCACAAGCACAGTAACAAAATAATAATAGCAATACTAATTATTGCCCAGGCTGGAGTGCATCGGCGCAATCTCGGCTCACTGCAAGCTCCGCCTCCCGGGTTCACGCCATTCTCCTGCCTCAGCCTCCCGAGTAGCTGGGACCACAGGCGCCTGCCACTACGCCTAATTTTTATATTTTTAGTAGAGACGGGGTTTCACCGTGTTAGCCAGGATGGTCTCGATCTCCTGACCTCGTGTTCCACCCGCCTCGGCCTCCCAAAGTCCTGGGATTACAGGCGTGAGCCACCGCGCCCGGCCACAAAATAATTATTAAATAAGACAAGTGTCTGCTTCCAGAACCTATGCTCTTAATCAATATACTGCCCCACCCTGCCATCAAACTGAGCAATTAACCACCTCACATGGAAATTCAGTATCAGATTCAAAGGATCATTAAAACTGGATAAGTTACTGTCTTTAACAGATTAAACAATATTTAATAATATTTCAATTATAGTTTGATTTGGAATATAAATCTTTTTTTTTTGAGACGGAGTCTCGCTCTGTCCCCCAGGCTGGAGTGCAGTGGCCCGATCTCGGCTCACTGCCAGCTCCGCCTCCCGGGTTCACGCCATTCTCCTGCCTCAGCCTCCAGAGTAGCTGGGACTACAGGCACCCGCCACCACGCCCGGCTAATTTGTTGTATTTTTAGTAGAGACAAGGTTTCATCCTGTTAGCCAGGATGGTCTCGATCTCCACCCGTCTCAGCCTCCCAAAGTGCTGGGATTACAGGCGTGAGCCACTGCGCCCGGCCCTGGAATATAAATCCTTATGGTTGTATCTTCCAGGTCTGTGTAGAAAACGTCTAATTCTAGATAATCCTCTGATAGAGCTTGTAAGCATACAGAGAGAAGAGCAAGATGAGATTTTCTAATCCTCTAGTGTTAAAAATTCTAACAAATAAGAATCTCAGGCTTGTACTTCAAAATGCAGGACAGCAACGTATTATAACGTGAAGTCAAAGAACCATACATTTATGTCTTACAAGGAATTTTGTGTATTTTATCTAAGTTGTTGAATATTTTGGCATGAAGTTGTTCTTAATACTCCCTTATTATCCTTTAATGTCCATAGGACGTGTAGTGATGTCCCCCTCTCTCATTCCTGTTACTGGTAATATGCACCTTATCTCTTCTTATCCTGACCATTCTGGCCACAGATTTATCAACTATATTCATTTTCTCAAAGAATCAGCTTTGGTTTCACTAATTTTCCTATTGTCTATTTTCTAATTCATTAATTTTTGCATTTATCATCATTATATTCTTCCTTCTGCTTAGTTTGGGTTTAATTTGTTTTTCTTTTTCTAATTTTTTAAGCTACAAGCTTTACTTTTTTTTTTTAAGATGGAGTCTGGCTGCTTTACTTTTTTTCTAATACAGGTTGAATATTCCTTATTCAAAATGCTTGGGACCAGATGTGTTTCAGAGTTCAGATTTTTATGGATTTTGGATTATTTGCATTATATTTACTGGTTTAGCACCCCTAAGCATTTTCTTTGAGCTGTCATGATGACACTCAAAATATTTACGAGTTTGAAACATTTTAGATTTCAGATTTTGGGATTAGGAATGCTCAACCTGTATAAACGTTTAATGCTATACATTTCCATCTGAGCATTGCTTTAGCTTCATCCAACAAACTATAATAGGTTACATTTCCATTTAGTTCAAAATATGTTTATTTTCCCCTGTTTTTTCTTCTTTGGCCCATGGGTTATTTAGAAATATATTGTTTAATTTTCAAATATTCAAAGGTTTTCCAGATATCTTTGTGTTATCAATTTCTAATTTAAATTCCACTGTGATCACAGAACATACTTTGAATAATTTTAATACTTTCAAATTTACCAAAACTGGCTTAATGGCCTAGAATATGGTCTTTGGTAGTAAATGTTTTGCTGTTGTTGAGTGAAGTGTTTCATGACTCTCAATTAGGTCAACTGGTTGACAGTGTTTTCCAAACATTCTATATCATTACTGATTTTCTGTTTCATTCTTCTGTTAATTAAGAGAGAGGGGTTAGGGCAGGGCACAGTGGCTCACGCCTGTAATCCCAGCACTTTGGGAGGCCGAGGCAGGCAGATCATGAGGTCAGGAGATCAAGACCATCTTGGCTAACACGGTGAAACCCCGTCTGTACTAAAAATACAAAATATTAGCCAGGTGTGGTGGTGGGCGCCTGTAGTCCCAGCTACTCAAGAGGCTGAGGCAGGAGAATGGCGTGAACCCGGGAGGCAGAGCTTGCAGTGAGCCGAAATCACACCACTGCACTCCAGCCTGGGCAAGAGAGCGAGACTCTGTCTCAAAAAAAAAAAAAAAAAAGAGAGAGGGGTTAATGTCTCTAATTACAATTTTCTATTTGTCTACTTCTTTTAGTTTCATCAATTTCTGCTTCACGTACTTTGACGCTCTGTTAATAACCCATTTATGCCAGAGGTTACAATTTTTTGAATTGCAAAATCAGACCCTGGCGATGACCTTGAGCAGTAGGATATAAATAACTCCCACATGCTTAGCGTTCCAATAATGGAACATTAGGCATAAATGGGATAAGCACCTACACATTTAAAATTATAACCTCTTGATGAATTAATTCCTTAATCATTACACAATGTTCTTTATCACCAGAAATATTTCTTGCTCTGAAATCTTTGTTTATATTAATACAGGCACTTCACATTTCTTCTGATTATTATTTGCATGCTGTATTTTTTTTCTATCCTTTTCCTTTTAACCTCTGTGTCTTCATATTTAAAATAGGTTGCTATTTTACATTAGGAAACCTACTTAATTTTATCCGACAATCTTTGTCTTCTCATTGGAATGTACAAACCATTTATATTTAATGTTTATCAACACAGGTGGGTTTAAATCTCCTATCTTGCTGTTTGTTTTCTATTTGTCCCATCTGTACCTTACAGACCCATACACTGCATAACTAAAAAGGACTTTAGAGTTAATCTAGCTCAACCACCTCATTTTACAAAAGAAACTTGGAGGATCAGAAAGATTATTTGACATGCTCACAGTCACACAGCTAAGTGTGACCATATAAACAACCAAAAAACAAAAACTCAATTCTCCTGCTTGAGTTAATCCACCACGTTTTCAATATACCATTCCTAAGTGTCATGTTAAACATGAGAATAAATAACCTCAAGGGGCCTTTCAGGATGAGAGTACCAATCTGCTGAAATATAATTTACATTTACATACAGATTGTGCCCTCTCACACACACTACCCACTTGGGGATATATATATTATATATATAATATGTAATATGTAATATATATAATATGTAACATACATATATGTTATATATATATATAATATACAATATTATATATATGTATATAAATATATAAACACAGGCTGGTCTCAAACTCCTGACCTCAGGTGATCCACCTGCCTCAGCCTCCCAAAGCACTGGGATTACAGGTGTGAGCCACTGCGCCTGGCCACAAATTGTTTTTAATTTAAAAAATAAAATCAAATTGAGACGAGGCCTCACTATGTTGCCCAGGCTGGCCAACATGGTGAAACCCCGCCTCTGCTAAAAATACAAAAAATTAGCCAGGCGTGGTGGCACACAGCTGTAGTCCCAGCTACTTGGGAGGCTGAGGCAGGAGAATCGCTTGAATCCAAGAGACAGAGGCTGCAGTGAGCTGAGATGGTGCCACTGCACTCCAGCCTGGGCGAAAGAACAAGACTCCATCTCAAAAAAAAAAAAAAAAAAGAAAAACAATTTGTGGTAGAAATATCTTTGGCTAAACTATGTTTAGCCTAAAGTTTATAACAGCTTTTAGCTCACTCTGACTGCTTTTCAAAACAAAAGAAGATATACATGAGGGAGTTTTCATAAATGACAGAGTATCTTACTTTGCCAACAAGAGCAGGAATGTTCATTGAATTCGTTGCAAATCCCATGCCATACGCCATAGCAGCTTCTACTCCTAAGAACCTTGCTACAAGCTCCTCTAGTTCTTCATGCTTGTCCAGGTTTCCTGTGTGAAGAAGTTAATAAAGTCAGTATCACAAAATCCTGAATTTAAGAATTACTCATCACTTTATTAAAAGAAATCATAGTATATGTGTTGTGTCCTTTTCAGACTAAGATCTATGAAGGAGTCAATATTATGAAGAGTAATATTCTTCATAATATTGTGAAGAGTAATATGTGCTCATAAAGAACACAATAGTTGAATAAAATCTGATTCAGCACCTGCAGTGGAATTTCCCCAAAGGGGGCTGCGAAAAATTTCTCCCATTCCTGTTTGTGCATACTAGTTCCAGGTCTAGGCCTTAGGAGGCCTAGCAAAATCTGCTTTTACACTTTTGAAGTCAGCTGCTATGTAAAACAATCTAACTGGCCTGTTGCAAAAACAGAACATGGGCGGGGGGATGGGAACTGAGGGATAAGAGACTATGGAAGGAGGAGAGAAAGACGTAAGGAGAGGGGGAGACAGAGAGAAAGAGAAACAGAGATGCCCAGCCAGCCCTTAGCCCTTCCTGCCACCCAGCTGAAGTGTCAAACGTGAGTTAAGACATCTTGGATACCCTGTACACAGTCATAATTGCCTATCCAATACCACATGGAGCTAAGATAACATCAGGCCCTCCCTAAATTGCAGAATCATGAGCAAATAAATCTGTTGCTGTTTTAAACCACTAAGTTTTGAGATGGTTTGTTATACAGCAAAAGATAGGTAAAAACGTTTCTTCCTGGCAGGGTGCAGTGGCTCACGCCTGTAATTCCAGCACTTTGGGAGGCCAAGGAGGGCGGATCACCTAAGGTCAGGAGTTTGAGACCAGCCTGGCAACATGGTGAAACCTTGTCTCTACTCAAAATACAAAAATTAGCCAGGCATGGTGGCGTGTGCCTGTAATCCCAGCTACTCGGGGGCTGAGGCAGGAGAATCGCTTGAACCTGGGAGGCAGAGGTTGCAGTGAGCTGAGATCGCACCACTGCACTCCAGCCTAGGCAACAGAGCGAGACTCTGACTCAAAAAAAAAAAAAAAAAAGGTTCTTCCCTCACTGTGAACTGACTGGTAAATTTGTACCGCAATTTTATATTGGTACTCAAATCTTTAAGGACTAAATGACATTACAGAGAGAAAAGATGCGGGAAAGAAGAATGCTAAACTTGGATGCCATGTGTCCTTAAGGCTTGCTTAATCAAAGCCCTTAGGAACTCTCTGGGCTAAATACTTCTAAATAGCAATAATAATTTGCCCTATCTACCTCATGACATTGTTGTGAGGATCAAAAGAGATAATACGTTTGAGCTTTTTTTCTTTTTTTGAGAGAGAGAGTCTCGCACTGTCGCCCAGGCTGGAGTGCAGTGGCGCAATCTCAGCTCACTGCAACCTCCACCTCCTGGGTTCAAGCAATTCTCCTGCTTCAGCCTCCCAAGTAGCCGGGATTACAGGTGCGGACCACCACGCCTGACTATTTTGTATTTTTAGTAGAGACAGGTTTCACCATGCTGGCCAGGCTGGTCTCAAACTCCTGACCTCAAGAGATCCACCCACCTTGGCCTCCCAAAGTGTTGGGATTACAGGCGTGAGCCACCGCATCCAGCCGAGCACTTTATAAAATATCAAATGCCATAAAGGCATAATGTATCCTTACTATATGTCGCCACTGCACAATGCTCCTTTAACCACAGGATTAGATCACAAGGCTTGTCATTTCTGGAGTGCCAGTTAGAAACTCTGTTTTAAAGGCAGGGGGAAATAAAAATGTTCTACTCCCATCTTCCTCTTGAAAATCATCACAAAACAACTGGATAACCAAGAAATAAAAGCTAAAAGCTCAATTTTTTATTAATTAGTGGACATCTGTAATTCTGAACACAATTAATGAAAATGGAAAATATACAGAAGGATGATGCTACGGGTTCCATTGTGTCCCACCAAAAAAGATATTTTGACGTCCTCATTCCCAGAAGAATGTGACCTTCTTTGGAAACTGGAACTTTCCAGAGGTAATCAAATTAAAATGAGGTCATTCATTGGTTTCAACTTAAAATTAGCACCTAAAAGTAGGGTCAACCTGTCTTTTGAAGCTTTGAAACCAGGCATTGACTTGTCTCTAGCTGTGAAAGTTTTAGATGGTGTCTTCTTTCAATTTAAAGCTGTTTCATCTACATTGAAAATCTGTGATTTATTGTAGCCACCTTCATCAATTATTTTAGCTAGATCTTCTGGATAACTTGCTGAAGTTATCAGCATTCACTGCTTCACCTTGCACTTTTATGTTGTGGGGATGGCTTCTTTCCTTAAGCTTCATGAATGAACTTCTGCTAGGCTTAAGCTTTTCTTCTGCAGCTTCCTTACCTCTTTCAGCCTTGATAGAATTGAAGCGATTAGGATCTTCTTCTGGATTAGATTTGGGTTTAAGGGAATGTTGTGGCTGCTTTGATCTTTTATCCAGACCACTAAAACTTTCTCTCTACCAGCAATAAAAGGCTGTTTCACTTTCTTATAATTTGTGGGTTCACTGGAGTAGCACTTTTAATTTTCTTCGAGAACTTTTTTTGCATTCACAACTTGGCTAATTGCTTGGTGTAAGAGGCCTCGCTTTTGGCCTATGTCAGCTTTTAACATGCCTTCCTCACTAAATTTAATCTCATGGAGGTAGCGAGTAAAACAATACTGGAAGGATGTGTGTTGAGATGAGGTAGGGGGAGCGGGGGAGATGAAGAAAAGCTGGTAAATGGGTACAAATATAGAGTTAGAAGAAATAAGTTCTAATGTTTGATAGCAGAGTAGGGTGACTATAGTTAAAAACAATGTATTGTATATTTCAAATAGCTAGACGAGAGGACTTGATGATCCCAACATATAGAAATAATAAATGCTTGGGGTGACGAGTACCCTAAATACCTTGACTTGATTCTATACACATTCTATACATGTAACAACACATCACATGTACCCCACACAAATGTACAAATGTTATGTATCAATAAAAAATTTTTACAAAGATTTTAAAAATAAATAAATAAATAAATAAATAAATAAATAAAATGAGGCCATTAGGGGGATGCTAATGTCTTTATAGAAAGGGGAAATTTGGACACAGTGATAGACATGCACAGAAGGAATACAGAAGACAATGCTGTTTTTTTGTTTTTCTTGAGACAGAGTCTCACTCTGTTGCCCAGGTGGAGTGCAGTGGTGTGATCTCGGCTCACTGCAACTTCTGCCTCACAGGTTCAAGAGATTCTCGTGCCTCAGCCTCCCGAGTGGCTGGGATTACAGGCGTGCACCTTCCATCACGCCCAGCTAATGTTTGTATTTCCAGTAAAGACAGGGTTTCACCATGTTGGCTAGGCTGGTCTTGAACTCCTGACCTCAAGTGATCTGCCCGCCTTGGCCTCCCAAAGTGCTGAGATGACAGGCATGAGCCACTGTGCCCGGCCAGAAGACGACAATGTTTGACACACAGGAAGACAGCCGTGTGGTGGAGTGATGTGCTATAAGCCAGGGAACGTCATGGATTGCTGTCGACACCAGAAGCTAGGAAGGTTTCTCCAGAGCATCAGACAGCATGGCCCTGCTGACACCTAGACCCCAAACTTATAACCCACAGAATTATGAGACTAGACATTTTTGTTGTTTTAAGTCACTCTGTTCTGATATTTTGTTACAGCAGCCACAGGAAACTAATACAACTGGAAAATGACAGAGTTAGAAGAAGGTCATATCTATGCCCTTATAGAGTGGAATCCTTTGAAAACCAAGTAAATTCACTGTATGGAACCCTAGAGAAGCTTAAAAACCAGAGGGAACAGGTAGCAAAGTAATCAAGGGTTAAAGTTGGGCTACAAACAAGATGACTGGAAGATGATATAAAAATGAATAGGAACCCTCATACATCGATGGAGAGATTGTAAAACAGTACGGTCTCTTTGGAAAACAGTTTAGCAATTCCTCAAAAAGTCAAACACAGAGTTACCATACGACCTAGCAATTCCACTAGTAAGTATAAACCCAAGAGAAACAAAAATATATCATACAAAAACTTGTACACCCACGTTCACAGCAGCACTGCTGACAATAGCCAAAAAGTAGAAACAACCCAAATGACCATCAAGTGATAAGTGGATAAACAAGACGTGGCACCCTCACACAAAGGATTATTATTCAGTCATAGAAAAGAATGGAGTGCTGTTACAGGCTACAACATGGATGAATTTGAAAATATTGTGCTAGTGAAGGAAGCCAGACAGAAAAGACCAAATGTTATACAATTCCTTTTATATTTAATGTCCAAAATAGGCAAATCTATAAAGACAAAAAGTAGACTACTGGTTGCCAAGGACTTGTAGGGGGAAGGGAAACAGTATCCAATGAATGCTACTGAGTATAGCATTTCTTTTAGGAGGAATGAAAATATTTAAAATTAGATGGTGGGGCCAGGCATGGTGACTCACACCTATAATCCCAGTGTTCTGGAAGGCTGAGTTAGGAGAATCACTTGAGGCCAGGATTTCAAGAACACCCTGGGCAACATAGCCTCTTGAAAGAGATCCCCATCTCTACAAAAATCACATTAAAAAATCAGCTGGGCATGGTGGCGTGCACCTATAGTCCTAACTACTTAGGAGGCTGAGGTGGGAGGATGGCTGGAGTACCGAAGTTTGAGGCTGAAGTGAGCTGACTGCACCACCGCACTCCAGCCTGGGCAACAGAGACCCTGCATCCATCTATGCATCAATCTATCTATATATCCATGTATCTAGCTATCTAAATAAATAGATATAAAAATCTGCACAATTTTATTTTTTTCCCTGTCTTCATGTTGTTTTAAATTTCGTGAGCTGACAGAGTTGCTATGGAAGATTAAATATGGATGCAAATTCTTTGTTATTCTTCCCATTTGGAGGTGGAGGAGGGCAATCCCCACAACCCTTGAATCTGGGCTGACCTTAGCGACGCTTTGGCCAATAGAAGAGGCATAAATGATACTTTGGGACCTGTACAGCTAGGGCATAAAAAGCCTTCCAACTTTCAACTGGGTATCCTTGTTTTTGTTTTTTGACACAGTGTCTCACTCTGTCATGGGCTAGGGTGCAGTAGCACGATCATAGCTCACTGCAGCCTCAAACTCCTTGGCTCGAGGGATGCTCTGGCCTCAGCCTCCTGAATGGCTAGGATCACAAGCATGCGCCACCACGTTCGGCTACTTTATCTTTATTTTTTTAGAGAACAGGTCTCACCATGTTGCTCAGACTGGTCTCGAACTCCTGGCCTCAGCTGATCTTCCTATCTTGGCCTCACAAAGTGCTGGGATTATAGGCATGAGCCTCCGTGCCTGGCTTCAGTCAGGTATCTTTGCATGCTTGCTCTAGAGGCCTGCAGCCATGCATGATGAACAACTCTCCAAGACCACCATGGTATGAAGAAACCCAAGCTAGAAACATGGAGAGGCCACACAGAGCTCCAGCCACCGCAGCCTAGGTGAAACATGCGAATGAAGAAGGCTTCATGTCTCCAGCCATACAGCCACCACTGAGTGCAACCGTGAGAGGAACCTTGGGTAAGAAGCACCCAACTGTGCTTGCCAATCCCTAGAACCCTGAGAAATAACTAACAATGAACTGTTCTTTTAATCTACTGTGCTTACAGTAATAAGTATTTGGAAAGTTTTCATAACTTCCAGGGTTGTCAGTTCTCTGAATCAAATTGGAACAATCTGAAATCTTCCGCTGAATTAAAATAAATTGAATCTCTTTATATAAAGTTATTACTCTTTTATATTTTACAAACTTAAAACAATAATAAAAAGAGTTTATATTTATTGTCTACTATGTTCCAAGTACTCTACATGGATTAGCTTACGTAATTCTTAAAAGAGCTCTATAAGGCAGGAATTATTATTAGCCCCCATGTACCAGTATGAAAGCAGATTAACTCTCATATGCCCAACATCCTAATAAGTGGCACTCTTAACCACTAACATTTGCAAAAGCCAATGAAATCAACATTAAAGTTATAAATGAAACAAACACTGGCAGGATTTTTCGAGGGACATTCTATATGTATAACACATTGGGAAAGATAAACACATCTCAAAATGTGTTGAAAGCATTGAAATCATCCATCACACTTCAGAAAAACAAAGCATTCTTCACCTTATCTAAATGACATGACAAAGTGTAGATATTTAATACTCTAGGTCAATATTACTATTATTTGCCCCTGACTAAAACAATGTCAAAAACAGCAGCTGGCCAAATACAGCTTTCACTTACCAATTTCCTGCCGAGTACTGCACACTCCAGCTCCATACTCCTCAAGGACTTTGGCGGCTGCTTCTTGACATGATCCAGTATTCCGTGCAAATCCAAGATAGTTGTAGGAACCCATGTTTATAACACCCTTTATTATATTCCCTGTATACCTGTGCATCAATAGCATAAAACAATGAAACTCATGAGCAAAAAAGTACTTACATGTAATATTAAATGAACTGGTGACACAAAAGGAAGCAGAGAGAACAAAGTCTATATTAAAAAAATCTCAAACACACTACCAATTATGGAAATAGAAGTTAAAATAATCAATTTTCATTTATTAATAGTGATAAAGATTTTAAAACTAATGATATCCAGTGTTGGCCAGGACAATCACCTTATCTTACAGGACACTGTACATAAGAATATCAGGTTTGTTTTTTGGAGGGCAGTTTGGCAGTACTTATCCATTAAAAGATATACATACTCAGTAACTCCCGCACATGAGAATATATACACATGAGGATCCTTTGAGAGCCACTGCACAATTTGCCACATCTGTTCTTCAGATACAGAGACCAGTGACATTTCATACAATGGAAGCTGAGGCAGCCTGGGCCCCTAACTAAGGACAAAATGGTTCAAGGGCCCCACCAACCTAGGATGAACATGAAGTATCGATAAGGATAAACTGTTACTGTTTTAATTCCCTGAGATTTTGAGATTATTAACACAGCCCAACATGTCACACCATGGCACATGTATACTGTAAAATACAATGTAGTCACTACAAATAATAAACTTGCTGTGAATATACACATGAGAAGGGGTGTCACTGATATTTGACCAAGCTAAGAAGGCAAGCTGTAGGCCGGGCACGGTGGCTCACGCCTGTAATCCCAGCACTTTGGGAGGCCGCGGTGGGTGGATCACAAGGTCAGGAGATTGAGACCATCCTGACTAACACAGTGAAACCCTGTCTCTACTAAAAAACACAAAAAATTAGCCGGGTGTGGTGGCAGGAGCCTGTAGTCCCAGCTACTCGGGAGGCTGAGGCAGGAGAATGGCGTGAACCCAGGAGGCAGAGCTTGCAGTAAGCCAAGATGGTGCCACTGCACTCCAGCCTGGGTGACAGAGCAAGACTCTGACACTTTGGGAGGCCAAGGTGGGCAGATCACTTGAGGCCAGGAGTTCGAGACCAGCCTGGCCAACATGGTGAAACCTCATCTCTACTAAAAATACAAAAAGTAGCTGAGCATGGTGGTGCATCTCTGTAGTCCCAGCTACCAGAGAGGCTAAGGTGGGAGAATCACTTGAACTTGGGAGGTGGAGGTTGCAGTGGGCTAAGATTGTGACACTGCACTCCAGCCTGGGCAACAAAGCGAGACTCTGACTCAAATAAATGAATAAGTAAACAAACAAACAAATACAATGTTAAAAATACAAAAAGTTTTCCAAACTATTCAATCCATGTAAGTAAAAACACTCTACATATCATCCTTAAATCATTTGAGAAATCAAAATATCCAGAAATAAATTTGGATACTTGATTCTGATAAGTGGCATAATGGAAAGGATAGCTTTTCTTTTTTTTTTTTTTTAAAGTCAAGACCAAAAATAAAACAGACTAAACTTTTGTATACTGTTTCTTATCAATAGGAGTTATTTTTAAAAATAAAGAAGCCAGGCTGGGCGCGGTGACTCATGCCTGTAATCCCAGCACTTTGGGAGGCTGAGGGGGACAGATCACTTGAGGTCAGGCATTCGAGACCAGCCTGGCCAACATGGTGAAACCCCATCTCTACTAAAACAAATACAAAAATTAGCTGGGTGTGGCGGTGCATGCCTGTAGTCCCAGCTACTCGGGAGGCTGAGGCATGAGAATTGCTTGAACCTGGGAGGCGGAGGTTGCAGTGAGCTGAGATCACGCCACTGCACTCCAGCCTGGGTGACAGAGCGAAACTCCATCTCAAAAAATAAATAAGCCAAATTTTCTTCTGAACTATAATCCAACACAGTATCAAATGTAATAGAAAGATATATCTTAAAAAGCTCAACAATGAAGAATATGTAAGGAAACCAATCATATTGTATCCTCAGCTGCTACTCCTATTTTGAGAGAATACTCAATTTATAATAACATATTTTCTCAAATGAAGAAACCCTTTTGTAATTGTTGTCAAATAATTTCCCAACCAAGACTCACTTGAAGGACCAGTTATAATCATGAGACTGTCTCTCCATGATGTCCACCCTGGCTCCAGGCACACTACAGATTGGCCGATTCCAGTTGTCTCTTATCCTCATGTACAGATTCCTTGTATAAAAGTTTTCAAAATCTTGATACAATGACACAAAGTCCTGCCAAGAAATGGTGACATACCATAAATTTAACTGAGTTACTTTATTAAAAAATTTTTTAACAGATGACATGATCTTTTATTTATGTAAATTTATGGGGTATAAGGGCAATTTCATTACGTGCAAGATTGTGTAATGGACAAGTCAGGGATTTTACGGTATCAGTCATTCAAATAACACACATGGTACCCATTAAGTAATTTCTCATCATCCACCCTCACTCCCTCACCCTTCCAAGTCTCCACTGTCTATCATTCCACTGAGTTACTTTAAAAACAAACTTTACAACTTCCATTTTCATACTGTAAGAGCACCTGAGAATGAGAGGCCACTTATATTTAATTAACTGCTAAATCAGGACAGGCTTGGTGGCTCACGTCTGTAATCCCAGGACTTTAGAAAGCCAATGCAGGAGGACTGCTTGAGCTCAGGAGTTCGGGACAAGCCTGGGCAACATAGCGAGACTCTGTCTCAACAAAAACATTTTAAAAATTAGCCAGGTGCAGTGCACCTGTAGTCCCAGCTACTCGGGAGGCTGAGGCAGGGAGATCCCTTGTGCCCAGTAGATTGGGGCTGCAGTGAGCTATGATGGCACCACTGTACTCCAAGCTGGATAACAGCAAAAACAACAACAAAAAAAACCCTGATGTATCAGGAAAACATCTGGAAAGGCATCAATTCTCTATGATTATTTTAACACAACTCTTATCAGATAAAAGTCACTTAACTTTAATAGTTGACATATATTACATGGTTTCAAATAACTGACTTCATGAATGTAGAGCACAAGAATGTAAATTAACAAAGTAGTCCTCATAAAAATAAAATGTAGTCATACAATTCTGTCATTAAATGGTTTCCCTCCCTAATAATCTCAAAAAGACGGCTCTTCCCTCCCCACAAGCCTCCTCCCACATTAATAGATTAGGGGAAATGCCATAAAAACCACATAATTCCAATTTCAACCAAGAAAAACAATTCCAAAATTAAGATTCCATCCTTTGCATATTTTCAAGGATCAAAATGAAACAAATCCAAAGAGAAAATAATAAACAAGAAACACTATAAAATAGGATATAGGGGCCGGGTGTGGTAGCTCACACCTGTAATCCCAGCACTTTGGGAGGCCGAGGTGGGTGGGTGGGAAGATCACTTGAAGTCTCAGGAGTTCAAGACCAGCCTGGCCAACATGGCGAAACCCATCGCCACTAAAAATACAAAAATTAGCTGGGCATGGTGGCGGGTGCCTGTAATTCCAGCTACTCGGGAGGCTTGAGGCAGCAGAATCGCTTGAACCTGGGAGGCAGAGGTTGCAGTGGGCCGTGGTCACTGCACTCCAGCCTGGGCAACAGAATGAGACTCCATATCAAAAAAAAAAAAAAATGGTTATAGGAAGCCACCCACCTTAGGTTCTTTTCCCTTTAGAAAGGAATTTTTTAAAAAAGAAAAAAAAAAAAAAAAAAAGAGGCCAGGTACAATGGTTCATGCCTGTAACCCCAACACTTCGGGAAGCTAAGGTGGAAGGATCGCTTGTGGCCAGGAATCTGAAGTGACAGTAAGCTATGACTACACCACTGCACTCCAGTCTGTGCAACAGAGCGAGAACCTGTCTCAAAAAGAAAAGAAGGCAGGACACAGTGGTTCATGCCTGTAGTCCCAACACTTGGGAGGCTAAGGCGGGAAGATCACTTGAGCCCAGGAGTTCAAGACCAGCCTGGGCAACATAGTGGGACTCTGTCTCTACAAATAAATTTTTAAAAAGAAAGAAAAGAAAATACATTCCCAAAATGAATTCCTATGCTCAGGAACTTAACCCTTCCTCTGAGAGATTAAGTTGTACTAAAACTTAAGTCTGTAAAAAATCAAGTCACAGCGGAGCAGAAATGCTATGCCTGGTGTGGTATGACCACTACTCAGAACACATGTGACCAGACCATATGAGATCTACTTAAACTCTTGAATGTAAAGGGTAAACCAAACAACAAGAAAACGAAACTACAGTTTTTACTGTATCAGCCAACTACTGAGTTTATAACCATTAGATCTGGGCTTGGTGCCAATATAAATTAAGCTGTTAACTAAATCAGTCAAAAACATTGAAAAAGCTTAAGCCTTATTCTGTAAAAGATTTTCATTGCTAAAGAAGGCTGCATACAACTCTAAAATTAACAACTTTCTATGACACCGGACTCTCAAGTGCCTATTGAATGAGCCTCCCAGTAGATAAATCTTATAAATAAGGCTGAGCAAAGTCAGAAGCTACTCTAAGAATTTGCAGTACCTGATACCATCTCTCTTTTTTTTTTTTTTTTTTTTTTGAGGCAGAGTTTCACTCTTGTTGCCCAGGCTGGAGTGTAATGGTGTGATCTCGCCTCACTGCAACCTCTGCCTCCCAGGTTCAAGCGACTCTCCTGCCTCAGCCTCCCAAGTAGCTGGGATTACAGGACTCTGCCACCATGCCCAGCTAATTTTTTGTATTTTTATTAAAGACGGGGTTTCACTATGTTGGCCAGGTTGCTCTCAAACTCCTGACCTCAGGCGATCCACCCACCTCGGCCTCCCAAAGTGCTGGGATTAAAGGTGTGAGCCACCATGCCCAGCCACCATCTCTTTTACAACTGGTTCTAATAGTTAATTTTCCTCAGGACAGAAAATATTCATAAATAACATGTCTATCACAATTGGAAATTTTTCATTTAAATGGCATGTCCATTTTGATAGCCTTCCAACAAGTATACTGGTTGAATGAAAATAGGAATAGAGATATCCAATTCTAATTAAAACTTTTTATTTGGCTGTTATTATCCATGCATTTATTTCCCAAAGGAAAAAACAAAAAGTAGTCTTCAATCCTTTTCATTCATGTAAAAAAGGGTAACAGTACTAACGCTTCTAATGAAGGAAATGACAGTACTGATTATCTCATTTCTTTTTTTTAATTAAAAAAAAAAATTTTTTTTTGAGACAGAGTCTCACTCTGTCACCCAGGCTGGAGTGCAATGGTGTGATCTCGGCTCACTGCAACCTCCGCCTCCTAGGTTCAAGTGATTCTCCTGTCTCAGCCTCCCAAGTAGCTGAGATTACAAGTGCCCGCCACCACACCTGGCTAATTTTTGTATTTTTTAGCAGAGACAGTGTTTCACCATGTTGGTCAGGCTGGTCTTGAACTCCTGACCTCAAAGGATCTGCCTGCCTCAGCCTCCCAAAGTGCTGAGATTACAGGCATGAGCTATGGCGCCCGGCCAATCTCATTTCTTTATAATCTTTCTAAACACTGCACATTAATGTTCAAAGTATTAACTCCAATATTAAGAGAAATATTTCCTTACAGACAAATTTTTATTAGCAACAAAAGCAATATTTTTTGTTTTACTATATAAAACAGAAAAACCTTAGAGTCTGCTCCAAATACCAGAGGGATTATCAAACCCCAAGATAGAAAAAAGACTGCAGGCCAGAATGAAGTAGAGCTTCACCCCTCAGCCTTGGGCTAAACAAAGAAAACCAGAGGCACAGCTGTCTGGGATTAGGAAGGAAGCAATGGGTTCCAATTTCCTGAACAAAGAATTGTGCCTGCCATGGTCAGGCATTTCCATCTCTCCTTAACAAGTGATTAAGTCACAGTAGCACAGGGTAAAGGAGGAGAAGCTGTCACAACCAGGGATGTTAGGGACCAAAAGCGGGTGGCATAGAATGGTAGGAGAGAGGGACTTACGGCCGAAATCTCAGCTCCCCTTTACTCCTTAGCTAAGCTCCAGGGTAGTAGCTCTGATCTCAGTCAGTAGGTTCAGCAGAAAGATTTGATAGGCATGGCTGGGCGCAGTGGCTCACGCCGTAATCCCAGCACTTTGGGCTCAAGGCGGGTGGATCGCTTGAGCCCAGGAGTTTGAGACCAGCCTGGGCAATGTAGTGAAACTCTGTCACTACAAAAAATACAAAAATTAGCCAGGTGTGGTGGCATGTGCCTGCAGTCCCAGCAACGTGGGAGGCTGAGGTGGACAGATCACTTGAGCTCAGAAGGTTGGGGCTGTAGTGAGCCAAGATCGGACCACTGCACTTTAGCCTGGGCAATAGAGTGAAAAGCTGTCTCAATAAATAAATAAATAAATAAATAAATAAATAAATAAATAAAAATAATAATTTTAAAAAAGATGAGAAGGGCAGCAAACCAAACTCCCTGCAGCTTAGCCATGAAAAAAAGGAGGGGAGGGGTCACTACTTGCAGTTCCAGTTCTAGGCAATGGGAGTGTATTTCCAAAAATATCAGGTTAACTTTAAACACTCTAAGACCACAGTTAAACTAGGGGGGTAATCTTTTCATTCATTCATTCAAATATATCTTAGTGAGTACTCGATACATACTGGGTTGTATGCCAGACTTTCAGGATACGTTAAAGAACAAGACAGTTCTCTCCGCAAAGAGTGATAGCCCCACTATTCCGACCCTCATTCCCCCATCTCCACCACTCTCTTCCTCCTCCTCAGTTTGGTCACTGTGAAGTGACTTTAGTTAAGGCTTATGTAATACTCATCATCATTGACCTAATACTCAGTTATTGAACATTTACTGAGCAGTACCTTCCAGGCACTAAACTGGGCACTGGGAATAAAAATGAGTAAGAACAACCTCTACACTCCCTAAGAACTCTTAGTGTAGTGGAGAAACACACAAATAAATACAATATAATAAGTACTATAAAAGAGTGTTTGTCCAGAGAAGGAGCGAATACCTAACTGATAAGGGAGTGACAATGGTAAAGTCAAGTCCAAGCAGCCTTAAGGATATACTCATAAACATTCTTCCTGAAGATCCTCACAAATCCCATATCCTAGCACATGTAAGGAGAGGGAAAACAATACCTACTCGCGACTAAATGCTGGATCACTGGGCTTGAAATACTCCTCACTTAAGAGCCTTCTCAACTCAAGAGAACAACTCAAACTCTTGGATTTGCTGCTTAGAGATCAATGAAGACCTTATCAAAAGTAGTCTAGGGACATCTCAATAAGAAGCCAATAAATATCCTTTACTGGTTAAGCCTATTTAAGGTAAGCCTTCTAGAAAATATCCCATATTGTTTAATATAATATACATAAGTACCACCTATTGTAGCACCTATACAGGCATTAAGAACACAGGGGGCAAAGCTGGATGCTATCACTTTTTGAAGTCCACTTTCTAACAACTGTCCCTTTGTTAAGCATCATTCTGGTCCAACACAGATAGTCAAATATGTTTACATGATGATGATAAAGATGATGAATAATCACAACAGCAGCAAGAGTGCCCATCTACTGAGTATTTATGACATACCAGGCACTTGCCAAGTGCTTTACATGCACACATATTTATATACTTATATATGTAAGTATGTAAATATACATACTCTGCACACTCTTAAGGAAGATATTTCTTACACTTTCAGAAAGGCTAAATGGCTTTCCCACTTAGGAAAGCAGCCAGAGGCAGAGCCAGGAACTGATGATCCAGGCCTTCTAACTTTACTCTGTGCTCCCAACCCCAATGCCACACTGCCTCTTATTTGGTGATGCTACTAAATCAATCTGAAATACTTTGATAGCGTTCAAAGCACTTCAAGACCACTGTGCTATTGTCCTTCCCATTCTTTTCCTATGTTCTGCATATGACCAACACACACATAACAAACCCCCTACAAGACACACAGACACACACACACACACTTAGGAGATGGAAGGCTAAAAACTGTATTTCCTGGACACCCTTGTGATCGGGTTGCGGATGTGATGTAGGGTCTGCCAGTGAGAAGCACATACAACAGCTGGATGGCAGGGGCCACGCTTTGCACCAGCGTAGGAGGCAAGCCCCTGCAGACCTCAGTGCTGGGTCGGCACCAGCGCGATTCTATGTGCCACTGCCTATTCACCAGCCTCTGGCAGTGCGACAGTTGTGATGCCAGCACTCAGAGTACTCACGGCAGGAGCAGTTTCCTAGTTTGGGGTAGCTGCCCAGTTAGGGGAGGGAGGCCCTAACCTCACTGCTCTCGCCCCTCCACAAAGCCATAAATGCCTAATTCTCTGTTGGCTTGAATGACCTACAGTGTTTTTGGTAACTCTACCAATAATGTGACGATTTCAACAACGTGGTCATTATAATTATTGTTGAGAAATAGATGTTTAATAACTTATTAGATGTATTTTACAGAGTCACTGAATAAAATTTAAATTCTTTGTCCAAGTCACATAACAATGCAGTGACAAAGCCAAAACTGAGACTAGTATTATTCCAAACTAACACTATTAGTGGTAGTGTTACTACTAATTCCATTAAGAATTCTCAATGTCAGTTCTAATTTAATAACTTTTACTTATTTTAGAGTCTGGGGCACCAATCTCGATATAACAAAAGACAAAATTTCTCTCAAACATGAGCATTTGAGGCAAACAATCACTGCTTTGATGTTAGGATAAAAAGCTTGGAAAACATGCTTAGAACTGTCTCAGTGTCTTCTCAAGGTCAGGATGATTTAAAGTTCGACCCTTGACCTATGCATCCAGTGCAGGGAAAAAAAACTGGGACAAGTAAACCAACTCTAGCAGTCTTTAAGGAACAAATTTATTTCAGCTTTACTTTTATTCAAAACTTGCTAAGTAAAGGAAAACGTGGGAGAAAAATTTAAATCTACAAAACTATAAAGTATTTAGACCTTCACAGATTACTTTTAAATGCCATACTTATTTTAAAAACTTTCTCACTAGGACATCCACTGGCCAAAAAAATGACCCGACCTAAACCTCATACCTTATACAATTAACTCAAAAGGAGCATAGCCCTAAACGTAAAATATAAAACTATAAGACTCAGAAAAACCTTAATACATTCCTGGTGGACATGCAAAATGGCACAGCCAAGGTGGAAAAGTGTGTTGGTTTCTCAAAGGTACATGTAGACTTTGACAACGATGAACGTGATAAATTTTTTCTTTTTTCTTTTTTTTTTTTTTTGAGATGGAGTCTTGCTCTGTTACCCAGGCTGGAGTGCAGTGACGCAATCTAGACTCACTGCAACATTCGCCTCCTGGGTTCAAGCAATTCTCGTACCTCAGCCTCTCAAGTAGTTGGGATTACAGGTGTGCACCACCATATCCCGCTAATTTTTGTATTTTCAGTAGAGACGGGGTTTCACCATGTTGACCAGGCTGGTGTCAAACTCCTGACCTCAAGCGATCCACCCACCTTGGCCTCCCAAAGTGTTGGGATTACAGGTGTGAGCCATCACACCCAGCCAAAAAATAATTTTTTTAAAGGTAAATATAGACTTTCCATGTGACCCAGCAATTCCATTCTTAGGTACGTACCAATTGGAAACAGATACTCGAACAAGTACTTGTATGTGAATGTTCATAGAAGCACTATTCACAACAGCCAAAAGGTGGTAACAAAATGTGGTATATCCACATAACAGAATAGTATACAGTGATATAGGAATGAAGTACTGTTACTTGCTACAATGGTACATGAATCTTGAAAACACTATGCTAAGCGAAAGACAAGCCACAAAAGAGGGATGGTAGACGCAAAATACTTGTAGGATACATAAATATTTCCTAAAAACCACTTAGAAAAATACACAAACCCAGTAGAAAAACGGACAAAAGATTTGAACAGAGACTTCATGAAATCAGCACTTCCAATGGTCATTAAACATATAAAAAGCTGTTCAGCTTCACTGGGCAATAGAGAATTGCAAATTAAAACCACAATGAGACACTAGTACATATATACCAATTGAACTGGCAAAAATTTTAAATTCTGGCAATACTGAGTGTTAGTAAAGAGATGTGGAACAATTCTTGGCCGGGCGCAGTGGCTCACACCTGTAATCCCAGCACTTTGGGAGGCCGAGGCAGGCAGATCACGAGGTCAGGAGATCAAGACCATCCTGGCTAACACAGTGAAACCCGTCTGTACTAAAAATACAAAAACAAAATTAGCTGGGCGTGGTAGCGGGCGCCTGTAGTCCCAGCTACTCGGGAGGCTGAGGCAGAAGAATGGCGTGAACCCAGGAGGCGGAGCTTGCAGTGAGCTGAGATCACGCCACTGCACTCCTCCAGCCTGGGTGACAGAACGAGACTCAGTCTCAAAAAAAAAAGAATTCTCAAACACAGCCGGTAGGTGTACAAACCAGTACAATAACTTTGGAAAACAATTTGGCACTATCTAGTGAAACTGAAGACATGCATACTCTATAACTCTATAACTCAATAATTCCAACCCTGGAGAAACTCATATTTACATGCAGGAAATGCATATATCAGAACATTTATAGTAGTTTTATTCATCACTGACAAGAAATGAAAAAAGCCTCAATATCCATTATTATTAAAATGAAGGAAGGCCAGACACAGTGGCTCATGCCTGTAATCCCAGCACTTTGGGAGGCTGAGGCAGGTGGATCACCTGAGGTCAGGAGTTCGAGACCAGCCTGGCCAACATGGCGAAACCCGTCTCTACTATAAATACAAAAAATTAACCGGGTGTGGTGGCAGGCACCTGTAATCCCAGCTACTCGGAAGGCTGATCTCTTGAACCTGGGAGGTGGAGGTTGCAGTGAACCGAGATCGCACCACTGCACTCCAGCCTGGGCGACAAGAGCAAAACTCTGTCTCAAAATAATAATAATAATAATAATAATAATAATAACTAATGCTGTTTGCTGGTATGATAGTACTACTAAAAGATTTCAAGACATTTCATTATAAACATAATATTGCATATCAAAGACAAGATAGTAAAAAAAAAATCTATAACGTTTTGAATTTTTATTTGGGCAACATTTGTTGTTGTTGTTGTTGTTATTGTTAGAAACAGTGTCTCACTCTGTAACCCAGGCTGGAGAGAAGTGGCATGATCATAGCTCACTGCAGCCTCAAATTCTTGGACTCAAGCTATCTCCCCACCTCAGCCTCTCAAGTAGCCAGGACTACATACAGGTGCACACCACCATGCTTGGCTAATTTTTAAATTTTTTGTAGAGACAAGATCTCTCTCTGTTGCCCACGCCAGTCTAAACTCCTAACCTCAAACAATCCTCCTGCCTCAGTCTCCCAAACTGCTGGGATTATTGGTATGAGCCACCACACCCAGCTGGAAAATGTATTTTCTACTAAAGAAGGAAATAGCCTTATGAGATAGATTTAGAAGTAACTGAAACATGACAAAGTTGTTTCAAAACTTAAATTAAGAATTTTTAAATCCCAAATAATTCCCACCTGAGGAAGTGTTGAAAATGGAGTCATCACACAGTTAAAATTCATTATAGTTGGACGCAGTGGTGGATGCCTATAATCCCAGGATTTTGGGAGGCCAAGGCAGGTGGATCGCTTGAGCTCAGGAGTTCAAGATCAACCTGGGCAACAAGGCGAAACCCTGTCTCTACAAAAAAAAAAAAACAAAAATTAGCCAGTTGTGGTAGCGTGCGCCTCTAGTCCCAGCTACTCAAGAAGCTGAGGTGGGAGAATCACTGGAGCGTGGGAGGCAAAGGTTGCAGCGAGCTGAGATTGTGCCACTGCACTCAACCCTGGGCAACAGAGCAAGATCCTGTCTCTGAAAAGAAAAAAAAAAAATCTGGCCCAGGCACAGTGGCTCATGCCTATAATCCCAGCACTTTAGGAGGCTGAGGCAGGCGGATCACTTAAGCCCAGAAGTTCAAGATCAGCCTGGGGGCAAAACCCAGTCTCTACAACAAAACACAAAAATTAGCAGGGCATGGTGGTACGTGCCTGTAGTTCCAGCAACTCCGGAGGCTGAGGTGGGAGGATCACCTGAGCACAGGGAGGTCGAGGCTGCAGTGAGCTGAGATTGTGCCACTGCACTTCAGCCTGGGTGACAGAGTAAGACCTTGTCTCAAAAAAAAAAAAAAAAAAAAAAAAAAAAAAAAACACACAAAGAAAGAAAAGAAAAAGGGAAAAGGAAAGCATTATAAATTCTAAAAGTATTTTATAAACCAATAATTCTGTTTTTATCTCTACTTAATGAAGAAAAGTAGGTGAAATACTCAATGAAAGGTTTTCAGACTACAACTTTTAAACCTTTCAACCATGGTTAATTAACGACTTTCCTTACTGTTCATATAGGTCATACCACCGTCTGTCCTTTCCTGTTTTTAATGTTAAAAACAGGAAGCCACTTCCTTGCTGTTTCTATGCTGTCCATGAAAGCGCAGAATGAGATTTCAAGATAAAAAAACACTGGTTTTTCCTACATCTAAAACAGTCATTTGTATGTTTGTGTGTGCATGTGTGTACGTACACACCTACCTCGACTACAAATACTTCAAAATACTTTACATTGTTACTGTTACCACCACTCACAATACCATTCATATCTTAAACTTTTTTTTTTTTTTTTAGAGATAATGGCCAGGCACGGTGGCTCATGCCTGTAATCCCAGTACTTTGGGAGGTCGAGGTGGGCAGATTACCTAAGGTTAGGAGTTCAAGACCAGCCTGGCCAACATGGTGAAACCCTGTCTCTACTAAAAATACAAAAATTAGCCAGGTGTTATGGCAGATGCCTGTAATCCCAGCTACTTGGGAGACTGAGGCAGAAGAATCGCTTAAGCCCGGGAGGCAGAGGTTGCAGTAAGCCAAGATTGCGCCATTGCACTCCATCCTGGGCGACAGAGCGAGAGTCCGTCTCCACACACACACACACACACACACACACAAATACAAAAAATTAGCTGGGCGTGGTGGTGCACGCCTGCAGTCCCAGCTACTCAGGAGGCTGAGGCATGAGAATCACTTGAACCCAGAAGGCAGAGACTGCAGTGAGCTGAGATCATGCGATTGCACTCCAGCCTGGATGATAGAGCAAGACCCTGTCTCAAAAAAAAAAAAAAAAAAGACAAGGTTTCACTCTGTCACCCAGGCTAGAGTGCAGTGGCTCAATCACAGCTCACAGCAGCCTTGAACTCCTAGGTACAAGTGATCCTCCCACCTCAGTCTCCCAAGTAGCTAAGACTATGGGTGTAGGCCACCACACCCAGCTAATTTTTTAATTTTCTTGTTGAGACAGGGTCTTGTTACATTGCTCAGGTTGGTCTCAAACTCCTGCGCTCAAGCTATCTTCCCACCTCAGCCTCCCAAAGTGCTTGAAATTACAGGTGTGAGCTAACACGCCTGGCCTCTGGCCTTGTATCTTAAACATTTACCGAGCGTCTAATATGTGCCAAGCACTCTATAGTACAGAGTAGTAAACAAAAAGGTAATAATCCTTGCCCTCTTGGAATTTGTATTCTGGTGGAAGAGATAAACATATAAAATACAAAGTTTGCTAGTCCAGGCTCAGTGGCTCACGCCTGTAATCCCAGCACTTTGGGAGGCCGAGGTGGGCAGATAGATAAACATGAGCCCAGGAGTTCAAGACCAGCCTGGCCAACATGGCAAAGCCCTGTCTCTACTAAAAACACAAAAATTAGGTGTGGTTGCACATGCCTGTAGTCCCAGCCACTCTGGAGGCTGAGGCAGGAGAATTGCTTGAACCTGGGAGACAGAAGTTGCAGTAAGCCGAGATCGCGCCATTGCACTCCAGCCTGGGCAACAGAGCAAGACACTGTCTCAAGAAAATAAAAATAAATAAAAATAAAAATAAATAAAGTATGTTAGACAGTGACAAATACCAACAGAAACAAAAGCAAAAAGGAAAGGGGGAGACATGCTGCAAATTAGCTGGGGTGCCCTGGGTAGAACAGAGGATAAAATGGAAGTGAGGGAACTAGCCATGGGACTATTTGAAGGAAAAGCTTTCCTGGCATGAAAAACAGGGAAAACAGGTAACAGGGAAACTCTTGCAAACCTAACACTGGCACTAGTCCAAACGGATACAGAGGTAAACCTACTGCCACTAGTCCAAACAGATACAGTGGTAAACCTACTACACAAAGCTTCTTTGAAAGGTTTATTTTGAGTATAGTTTTTTACCAGTGAGAAATCCCTATAGTAAGTAGAGATGACTGCTCCATATGATGAAATATTATTCAGCAATAGGAAGCAATGAAGTACCGATACATGCTACAACATGAACTTCAAATACATTACGCCAAGTGAAAGGAGCCAGACACAGAAGAACATACACTGTATGATCCCATTTACATGAAACATCCATTTATATGAAAAGTCCCGAATAGTAAATCTACAGAGACAGAAAGTAGATTAGTGGCTGCCGAGGGTGGGGAGGGTGGATGAGGAAGGAGTGACTGCTAATGGTTCATGGTTTCTTTTTCAGAAGAGAAAAACATTACAAAATTAAATTGTGGTGCTGGCTGCACAACTCTGTAGA
Source organism: Homo sapiens (assembly GCF_000001405.40). Taxonomy (NCBI): domain Eukaryota; kingdom Metazoa; phylum Chordata; class Mammalia; order Primates; family Hominidae; genus Homo; species Homo sapiens. Next base: position 77,591,431 of record NC_000014.9, read on the forward strand.
TATACTAAAAACCATTGTATCGTACACTTTAAATAGGTAACCTTTATGATATGTCAATTATTTAAAAAGACTACTGCTGTCCTGTGCCCAGCAACTAACACAAAACAATGAAATACAGTGCTCTTTATTTTTTATTCTTCTTATTTTTTTTAGACAATCTCGCTCCATTGTCCAGGGTGGAGTGCAGTGGTGCAATCTTAGCTCACTGCAACTTCCACCTCCCAGGTTCAGATGATTCTGGGGGAGCTAAGTAGTGCTCTTCTGTATGTATGTATGTATGTATGTATGTATGTATGTATGTATTTATTTTTAGACGGAGTTTCTCTCTTGTTGCCCAGGCTGGAGTGCAATGGTGTGATCTTGGCTCACTGCAACCTCCACCTCTCTGGTTCAAGTGATTCTCGTGCCTCAGCCTCCCAAGTAGCAGGGATTACAGGCATGTGCCACCACGCCCCAGATAATTCTTGTATTTTTAGTAGAGACCGGGTTTCACCATGTTGGTCAGGCTGGTCTCAACTCCTGACTTCAGGTGATCCGCCCGCCTTGGCCTCCCAAAGTGCTAGGATTATAGACGTGAGCCGCCGTGCCCAGCCAGTTGTGTTCTTTTTAAATGTAGAATCATACACAGAATTAAAGAAGACAAACCAAACAATCAATCCCCTAGCTTAATGCACCAAAATGACAGGTACCAGAATATTCTTAGTACGCTACTTTTTTTTTTTTATTTTGAGACAGTCTCTATTGCCCAGGCTGGAGTGCTGTGACAAGATCTCAGCTTACTGCAACTTCCGCCTCCCAGGTTCAAGCCATTCTCCTGCCTCAGCCTCCCAAGTAGCTGGGATTACAGGTGCCCACCACCACGCCTGGCTAATTTTTGTATTTTTAGTAGAGATGGGGTTTCATCACGTTGGCCAGGCTGGTCTTGAACTCCTGACCTCAGGTGATCCACCCACCTCGGCCTCCCAAAGTGCTGGGATTATAGGTGTGAGCCATCGCACCCGGCTGTACGCTACTTTTTGAAGGAGGCCAAGAATAAAATCCCTCTGGGAATTCCTAGTAATGTATTTGAATTTCTTTCTTTCTTTTGTATCTTGAAAATAAGCCTATTGGGATATAAACATATAATGTCCCTTCGCCGTATCCTATCCCTCCCATTTTTAATCTACTTATTTTTTGTAACTTTTATTTTAGGTTCAGGGGTACGTGTGCAGGTTGTGCAGGTAAACTCGCATCACAATGGCTTGTTGTACAGATTATTTTGTCACCCAGGTACTAAGCCTAGCACCCAATGGGTTATTTTTTCTAATCCTCTCCCTCTTCCTACCCACCACAAGTGTCATTTTCCTCTTTGTATCCATATGTTCTCATCATTTAGCTCCCACTTATAAGTGAGAACAGGCTAGGCACGGTGGCTCACTCCTGTAATCCCAGCACTTTGGGAGGCCAAGGCAGGCTGAGGTCAGGAGTTTGAGACCAGGCTGGCCAACATGGTGAAACCTTGTATCTACTAAAAATACAAAAAATTAGCTGGGCGTGGTGGTGCATGACTGTAATTCCAGCTACTTGGGAGGCTGAGGCAAGAGAATCACTTGAACCGTGGAGGCGGAGATTGCAGTGAGCCGAGATCACGCCACTGTACTCCAGCCTGGGCGACAGAGTGAGACTCCATCTCAAAAAAAAAAAAAATTAAAAAAATTAAAAAATAAGTGAGAATGTGGTATTTGGTCCTCCCGTTTTTAAATATCTGATCATGAACAAGCTGTGGAGGCAAAATGTTAGTTTAAAATTTTGTCAGTGTGTGGTAACTACCTACCATAATTTACTCCTTACGTTCCTAGCTATTTCCTATCTAAATATTAGAATATTTTTTTCTGAATTAAATTTTTTCATTTTGTAGAGATGAGGTTTCATTATGTTGTGTCAGCTGGTCTCAAACTCCTGGCCTTGAGTGATCCTCCTGCCTCAGCCTAGAACATCTTTATTAATTCAAGCTTTTGCTGTATCTGTCACGTACGTGTTTCTGAACTACTAGCTTCACCTCACATCACAAAGAAATAATCCATAGATTGAGAAAAACAACATTCTCATCCAAAACACCACGAATAACAGAGGATTAAGGGGTAAAGAATTCCAAGAATTTTATGCAATGTATATAAAATAGAACAAACTCATGGTAACTCATCTTTATTGGTATGATCATGTGATTTAGTTGTATTCAAAGCAACATACGGTATTTCCTTACATCAAAGAATTAACACAGTTAAACTGGGCTCTCTTTTATAATGAAATGAGGAAGAAAACCAGGATGTGGTTATGAATACCACTCTCTCAGTGAAATGAGGAAGTAGCAACATTATGTTTGCATTTTATGATCCCAAGCAACCACTTTCCCTCACCTCCTTCCAGTTTAACACTTAATTTGCCTCCCTCTTTCCCCATCTCTAATCCAACATTAGAAAACAAACATGATCTATCACAGGAAAGGAATGACTTTTCCTTTCCCTCTAAAAGCTGAATTTTTGTAAGAAAATGGCAGAAGTTGGCTGTTTTAAATGCTAATGTTATCTACTGGGAATATTCTATTGAAATGAATTTGAATAATTTAATAAAATCCTCTCCATAAACTGCAGAGGCAAATGCTCTCCTCAGCCTCCCATTTCCTTGTATTACTTCCTCCAAGAATTGTTTCCTGATTAACCCTATGCTACTCAGATACTTTTTTTGTTCTATATCTTCATATAATCTAAGTATTATTTACTTGTATAATGGTTTTGCAAAGGCCCATAACTTTCAAATGTTTGTTTCCTCAACAAAATTAGAAACTACTTAAGAATAAAATCTGTGTGTTCTAATTCTTTCACACAAAGGATACACAGGCAGCTCCCAACACTTAAACCACCAATTTACTTTCTGTAAACATGAAACAAGTTCCAAAGATAATGTACTCACAAAGTAATTCAGATACATCTTGTTGGTTTCATTCATTCATCACACTTTGAGCACCAGCTGCACAAGCTGTATGAAAAATCCCCTGATCAAAAACTGCCCTTGGGGTCATGGTGGCTCACTCCTATAATCCCAACACTTTGGGAGGCCAAGGCAGGAGGATCGCTTGAGCACAGGAGTTTGAGACCAGCCTGGGCAACATGGCGAGACGCTGTCTCTATTTAAAAACAAAAACAAAAACAATACTCCTCATTGCCTACCAAACTTCTTACTTTGATTTTCAAAACACAATTTCTCTTCTGTCTACATTCCAGATTCTCCCAAACATTCTTCATGCCTTTGCCTATACTATCCCCTCATCCAGGAATGTGCTGTCTGCACCACAATCAGCACTTCCCTCACCACCAGCAATACACGTCAATTATCAAGTTTCGACTATGCATCTACACTAGGAGAGGTCCCTGCAGATAAAGAGTTTTTAGTTTGAATATTTAAATAAAACTTCAGCTACCATCGGTCATAACTGCCATCAACTCAGTCTAGTAGGAGGATACAGGCCTGTGAACAAGTAACTACAATACTGTACAACCTAGGAAGGGTATGGTAAGCTGTCACTGAGGGCTATACAAAATCAACGTACTGTAGATGCACTCTGAGTGGACATGCTCAGGGGGAGAAGGGGGATCAAAACGTATTAAAAATGTGGGCCAGGCACAGTGGCTCGCATCTGTAATCCCAGCACTTTGGGAGGCCGAGGCAGGTGGATCGTTTGAGGTCAAGGAGTTTGAGAACAGCCTGGCCAACATGGTGAAACCTCGTTTCTACTAAAAATACAAAATTATCTCGGGAGTGGTAGCACATGCCTGTACTCCCTGCTACTTGGGAAGCTGAGGCATGAGAATTGCTTGGACCCGGGAGGCGGAGGTTGCAGTGAGCCGAGATCACACCACTGTACTCCAGCCTGGGTGACTGAGCGAGACTCTTGTCTAAAAAATAATGATAATAAAATAAAAAATGTTAAAAATGTGTTTGGGTTTTAAAAGATAAAAATTACTTAGGGTTACTGGACCAACTTCTGAATGCAGGGCTTTGCATTCAAAAAACTTATTTACCTTCTTTGTGAAATTAACTTGCAGGGCAATGAGTAGGATGGCCAACTTGTGCTGGGGCTCGGATGGAGTACAAGATGGTTGAGATGAGAGAGAAAGGATGCCTAATCTTGAGTTCTCCCAGGAGCCACTTTTGAATCCATGTATCTACTGACTGGTTTTGTCTTCCTAGTAACTGACAATGTTTTCGTGATATACTCTTCCCATTTGCACATGACCACTATCCATTACCTGAATAATTGTTTCTTCTACAATCAATGTTCACTGGCTCGTCTCAGCGTTGACTTTGCTCACCCCACACCTGCCTCTTTTCCTCGGACGCACAGGAACCACAAAAAAACTCTAATGTCTTAAGTCCTTCTCTAATCTGGTACATTTGCCTGGGCTAAAAGACAACCTTTTGCCATGTGGGACATGCCAAGAACACACAGGTTTGTTTTATTTTTAGTAAAATTAGGCATCTTTAACCCTCATTTTATTTATTTATGGAGACTAGGTAACACATATGTAATGTATACAACTCCAGAAGTGAGCTTCAAGTCAATAACAAGTAAAAAAAACAAAAAAACTGGCCAGGCACAGTGGTTCACACCTGTAATCCCAGCACTTTGGGAGGCCGAGGTGGGTGGATCACAAGGTCAGGAGATTGAGACCATCCTGGCTAACACAGTAAAACCCCGTCTCTACTAAAAACACAAAAAAAATTAGCCGGGCACGGTGGCAGGCACCTGTAGTCCCAGATACTGGGGAGGCTGAGGCCAGAGAATGGTGTGAACCCGGGAGGCGGAGCTTGCAGTGAGCCGAGACCGAGCCACTGCACTCCAGCCTGGGCGACAGAGCAAGACTTGTCTCAAAAAAAAAAAAAAAATTAGCCGGGCGTGGTGGCAGGTGCCTGTAGTCCCAGCTACTTGGGAGGCTGAGGCAGAAGAATGGTGTGAACCCAGGAGGCAGAGCTTGCAGTGAGCCGAGATCGCACCACTGCACTCCAGCCTGGGTTGACAAAGCGAGACTCTGTCTCAAAAAATAAACAAACAAACAAACAAACAAAAAACCCTTCAGAGGTACAAAGGAACATGCAGAGAAAAGTGAAGTGAATGAAGAAGCCCTCTTCCCCAGACAACCATGCTCATATGTTTGCCATTCCTAAAACAAGAGTGTTGTTTACCGTAAATAGAATCGGTTGGCCACATTCTGTATTACAGCTTGTTTGTCTGGGGAGAGGAGCTGATGTGTGAATCACCCAACTATGTATAATGTATCTATGAGAAAACACATTATTAATTCCAAAGAATACAACCTTTTCAGAAAATGGTAAACACAACCTGGGATTCAGCATGCTGGTATGAACAGAAAGAGCAAGGCTTTTTCACTTCACAGTCCTCTGTCCACACAGCAGCTCTGACACCTGGCATCTTGGGAAACGTTGTTTAACTTGTGACTTTTTGATTTCTAATCCATAAAACAGGGATAGTGCCGCCCACCTCCTTAGGTTCTTCTTGATTAAACCCATGATGAATGCTTTGATATCTTTAACCTTGTTATTTTTCAGCTTTCTTTGTAGAATGTTTTCATTTAACTGCATCTGGAATAGTTTAATTTTAATGTGTACCCAAATTTCTGAGAAAAAGCTTTTGTGCAAAAATACTAAGATTTCCATAAAAGGCTTCTATTTACAGAATCAAAAACTCTCTAACAGTTACCTTTTGTTCTTCTCTTTCTGTTGCATGGTGACACTTTTCAATTCTCCAATACCTCAAGAAATCTCGAAGATATCCAAAGAGGGTGAGTACGCCATACCCCACATACGTGAGCACAGCAACCAGCATTGGTGTTTCTTCAAAAGCTTCATTAAACGGTCTTTTATATAGTCCTCCATTTTGTGTAACATGATGGATCTAAAAGAGAGGTTAAAAATGTTTATTTCCATCATGGCAAGAAAAACATTCCTACCTAAAATCTAGGTCCTTAGAGATTTGCTGAATTATACCTTAAGAATTTTCTAAGTTCCGCCGGGCGCACTGGCTCACACCTGTAATCCCAGCACTTTGGGAGGCTGAGGCGGGCAGATCACTTGAGGTCAGGAGTTCAAGACCAGCCTGGTCAACATGGTGAAACCTGTCTCTACTAAAAATGCAAATATTAGCCAGGATTGGTGGTGCACACCTCTAATCCCAGCTACTTGGGAGGCTGAGGGAGGAGAGTTGCTTGAATCTGGGAAGTGGAGGCTGCAGTAAGCCAAGATCACGCCACTGCACTCCTGCCTGGGTGACAGAGCAAGACTCCGTGTCAAAAAAAAAAAGGAATTTTCTAAGTTCCAACCTCACTGGAAACAAGAAAAAAAAAAAAAAGAATTTTAGGCCAGGCACGGTGGCTCACGCCTATAATCCCAGCACTTTGGGAGGCCGAGGCGGACGAATCACCTGAGGTTGGGAGTTCAAGCCCAGCCTGATCACATGGAGAAAACCCATCTCTACTAAAAATACAAAACTAGGTGGGTGTGGTGGCGCATGCCTATAATCTCAGCTATTCAGGAGGCTGAGGCAGGAGAATTGCTTGAACCTTGGAGATGGAAGTTGTGGGGAGCCGAGATCAAGCCATTGCACTCCAGCCTGGGAAATAAGAGCGAAACCCCATCTCAAAAAAAAAAAAAAAAAGAATTTTGTAAGCAACAGTCAAATCTAACACTAAGAGATAAGCAGGGCTACTTGTTTTCAATAGAAATAACTTATAAATTATATGCCCTTCAGATGAACAGTAAAAGAAGGGGAGCAAGAAGGACTGCATAAGAACACCACCTAACACTGATTTTTATCATTATTTGATTTTCTTAAATAGATTCTAAAATGCTAGCATAATTTCTTTTGTTCTAATAAAAAAAGCAAAAAATATAAATCAACAAAGAGAAAGCCTGTCCCAAAAAAGTACTATATTGGCCTACAGATGAAGAGATCAAAAGTTCAAAAGTAAATTCAGCTTTATTAGAATGTAAAATATTTGTAAATGTTTTACTACCACACATTCTTAAAGCCACCCAGCCATAGTATTCCAAATAATTATCAGCAGTAGGCCCCTGCAGAAACACGTAGTTCAAATTAACCTTTGTTGGTAGTGATAACACAAGTAAATCATGCAAAAAACTAAGATGTTTATATAAGTGTGGTCCAGGCTGGGTGCAGTGGCGCATGCCTGTAATCCTAGCACTTTGGGAGGCCAAGGTGGGCAGATAACTTGAGCCCAGGAGTTTGAGACCAGCCTGGGCACATGGCAAAATCTTGCCTCTACAAAAACAAAAAACAAAAACACTAGCTGGACATGGTGGCACATGCCTGTAGTCCCAGGTCCTCAGGAGATAGGTGGGAGGATCACCTGAGCCCAGAAGGTCGAGATGGCAGTGAGCCATGATCATGCCACTTCCCTACAGCCTAGGTGATACAGAAAAAAAAAAAAAAAGTGTGGCCCAGCATTATATAAAAGTAAAAAGAAAGTGAAACCCAAAACAAGGGGAAAAATTGTTAGTAACTGACATGAATTTTTCTGTCCCCCTTCATCTTAAGTATTCATTCCCAAACATCGTAAGATTATCCCTTGTTTTAACCTTTGGGATACTTGGATTTTAATACACAAAAACCAAGCTACTTTACTTTTGATCTCATAGATGAAAACTTTTTGCTTCTTGGTCAATTTTAATGGAAATCTTGCTTTATAGAAGATATCTGCTAGACAAGTTTGTGTGTTAACTTTAATCTTAACTTTGGAACAACTGCAGTGAGGATGGTTAAACAAAATTTACCAGGGGCATATCGTCAATTAAGCATTACAAAAGGTCCCAAAGAACTAAAAGATCCTTTCTTGCCCTCTCAGGCAATCTGATCAGAGATACGATATAAACAAATAAAAACAAATTAATAAAATTTACATAACTATACAATCAATTGTTATACATATCCAAGGGGTAAAGATATTTTAGAATATCCTATCCCCGTAATGTTAGTTTTGGAAAGCTGCTTCAGTGTTACAGACTGGAATAGTTCGGAAAGACACAGTTGTATGTGACAAAGGACAGGCATTCAGATAGGCATGGAAGATGGATGGAATCTGTTGGTACTGATTCAACTTGATGATCTAAATAACTTCTGAAAACTATTCACAAACTCATTTGGGTCTTCATCAATCTCTTCCACACAGCAGAAAAAGTTTGGTGTCAATATTTAATACTTAAACTTTTAAATGGGAGTAAGACTGTAATGTGTTTAGAACAGAATACCTAAAATTGAGCCAATATCTTAAGGCAGAAAATTGTTTAAAAATTAACAACATAACAATATAAAAAAGTTATTAAGCTGGGCAAAGCAAAATGAAAAGCAATTTAAAAGACAAGAAAAATTAACATTCTGATCATCTCTTTAAGAACTGTATCTGAAAATATTTTGCCTTAAGAACTCTGTTTAATACCAGTGCTGAACTCTCCCTAACTATGAAATTATTTAAACTATTTACTCTCAACTGTACACATCATTAAAAAGCCTGGAAATTACAGAGCCCCCCCACCGCAGTCTCAATCCAACATGCAGCGAGTTTACAGGTCAGGAATGCTATGGGTGGGTCTCTTTTAAAGATATCCGCCTTGATTTCAGGCACACCCACACAGGCAGGATCAGGTCAATTCATACTGTAGGCTGGACTCTCTAGGAAGGAGGATGCTAAACCATTATGAAGAACTGTGTGATTTTACCAAAGCCTTATTCAAAATTAAATGTATTTTAAAGAATTTAGGTTCAACTAGGAAGTGGCTGGGGTTTCTTTTTTTCCACCTTCAGAACCTGTGAAAAGAAGTGACTTTGGAATGTGGCTTCTGTCAAAACAGAGTGACTGATGATACAGGGAGGCAGATGGGCACGCCAACTGACACGCGAGCCTCTCCAAGGTGAAAAGTCTTTAAACTCTGAGAGAACAAAATCACTTCACCTTTAAGAACTGATGCTAAATCTTATCTTTCACATGATTCAAACAATAATGGTATTACTCTCTTATACATAGGTAATAATCCATGAGGAAAAACACCAGGTCTGTTTTGCTCATTATTGCACGTCTAGCACCCAGGGTAGTATTTATGAAGTCTTAATAAATAGTTAACACTTAATAACATTTCGTATCAGTCTGTTCACAGTCTGTTCACATTAAGCAAACAAGAATGTGACACTATATTAGCATTATTAATCAAGGAAAGATTTAGGAATATCAAGAAATGTTTGCTTGAACAGTAATATTACTGTTTAAGAAAATGTAAAAGAAAATAAAAATGCAAAGGAAGAAATTTTTTTCCGACAAGACTATAAGCACACCATCATAAAACACATTACAGAACAAGAGAAGGAAAAAAAATCAATCTAATGGGCCATTTTGTCCACATGCCTGTGGGCTGTCAACCATGTTTATTAAGCAGCTGAAAAGGCACTCCTAACCAAAGCAATAATGGGAAAGTATAATAAAAGATAAGCCATATGTGTAATACATATGTTTCCATAAGACTAAAATTGTCTCGAAGGAGACACAAGAAAATGTGGTAAGGAGTAGGGTGGGACAAGATGGCATATTTTTTGTTTATAACCTTCTAAACTGCTTTGATTTTTCTTTTCTTGTTTTTTACGAGTATATATTGTCAGGCCTCTGAGCCCAAGCTAAGCCATCATATCCCCAGTGACCTGCACGTATACATCTAGCTGGCCTGAAGCAACTGAAGATCCACAAAAGAAATGAAAATAGCCTTAACTGATGACATTCCATCATTGTGATTTGTTTCTGCCCCACCCTAACCGATCAATGTACTTTGTAATCTCCCCCACCCTTAAGAAGGTTCTTTATAATTCTCCCCACCCTTGACAATGTACTTTGTGAGATCCACCCGCTGCCTGCAAAACATTGCTCCTAACTCCACCGCCTATCCCAAAACCTATAAGAACTAATGATAATTCCCGCCCTTTGCTGACTCCTTTTTTGGACTCAGCCCACTAGCACCCAGGTGAAATAAACAGCCTTGTTGCTCACACAAAGCCTGTTTGGGGGGGTCTCTTCACATGCACACGTGAAACATTTGGTGCCAAAGACCAGGGTCAGCGGGACTCCTTCGGGAGACCAGTCCCCTGTCCTCATCCTCACTTCGTGAAGAGATCTACCTACAACCTCAGGTCCTCAGACCAACCAGCCCAAGGAACATCTCACCGATTTTAAATCGGGTAAGCGGCCTCTTTTTACTCTTTTCTCCAACCTCTCTCACTATCCCTCAACCTCTTTCTCCTTTCAATCTTGGCGCCACCCTTCAATCTCTCCCTTCTCTTAATTTCAATTCCTTTCATTTTCTGATAGAGACAAAGGAGACACATTTTATCCGTGGACCCAAAACTCCGGTGCCGGTCACGGACTCGGGAAGGCAGCCTTCCCTTGGTGTTTAATCATTGCAGGGATGCCTCTCTGATTATTCACCCACGTTCCTTTGGTGTCTGATCTCCATGGGGACGCCTGCCTTGGTCATTCACCCACATTCCCTTGGTGGCAAGTCAACTGCGGGGACGCCTGCTTTGGCTGCTCCCCAACCCCCTTCTCCGTGTCTCTACCCTTCTCTTTAAACTTGCCTATCTATAGCCTCTCTAGTGAATTCTCATCTACTTAGGAGTTCTCAGCTAGACCTCAGATGCTACAAGTAAGCTCAAGTCTACACTGCAATCCCAAATTCCTTTCCAGAACTCCACATTCGCATTTCCACCTGCCTTCTACATAGCTCCACTTAGACTTCATGGGCACCTCAAACTCAACAAGTCTAAAGCTGAACTTCTTCTCACCATCCTAACCCTCCCTCTCAGTTAAAACCTGATACTCCTCTTCTATTACCTATTTTGGTCAACAGCATCACCATCCAGTCTACCCAGTCTCCCAAGTTTGGAGTCATCTTTGGCTCCACCTTATTTTCTGGCTTCCAGATAGAATTAGTAATGACTTTCTGTGCTTTAGTCCAAGAGCTTCCTGTGGGGCACGAGAGAATTTTAAGGAGGTTGAAAAGGTTTGTTTCTTTTTTTTTTTTTTTTCTATTGACAGCATCTCACTCTGCCACCCAGGATGGAGTGCAGTGGTGTGATCATGGCTTACTGCAGCCTCTACCTTTCAGGCTTAAGTGATCCTCCGGCCTCAGCCTCCCAGGAAGCTGGGACCACAGCACAATAAGAGATTAACATAAGATAACATAAGATTAATACAATAAATATTTACTGATTTATTGTAGAGATGGGATTTCACTACATTGCCCAGGCTGGTCTCAAACTCCTGGGCTCAAGCTATCCTCCTGCCTTGGTCTCTCAAACTGCTGGGATTACAGGCATGAGCCACTGTGCCCAGCCTAGTCTACAAGTTTATTCAGATTTTGTCAAACGTCCTAATGATATCCTCTATAGCAAAAGAAAACCCTGGATTATATGTTGCCTTCTGTCTCTTAAGTTTCAGGAAAATTTTTTAAAAATAATTAAAATAAAACAGTTTTTATTGCACTGTAAACTGACTCAGAAGAAATGATCCTGAATAAAGGTTTCAAGAATCCCATGAAAGGACAGGGAGTAACTATGTTATAATCCAATAACAGTGAAGTAATTATTAGGAAACAGAAGCACACATTTCTGATATGAATACAAAATCACAAAAGCATAATTTCCTTAAGCAAATAAGCACATTCCAGCTGCATGCTACAGCAGGATAACAGAACCTGCCCAGCTGGTGAATGGTTTGGAACTTTATTTTTAAAAACTTAATGTCTAATGTGAACCACCCATTATTCTTCAGCAATCAAAGAACTGTTATCATGCTTTGTCCATTAAACGAACCCTATTCATTTTCAAGTGCTATGTTTCTGTTGCTCCTTAAAATCAGTTCTGCTGAAACTGTCCTTGCAATTTTACTGAAATGTACTGGCCTCTCCCTACTGCATATCACACATACTAGAGAGAACAGTTTGGAGCTTTACACAAATCACATAGGCTATACTGTGCTCTGAATGTGTATGTCCAGAAGTGTCTCCTTTTTTCAGCAGGGAAATTCTGAAAAGTAGAAGTCCATAGTTTTTCGTGTAGGCAGCATAAATTCCTTAGTTTTTGTCAGTAAGTATCTCATGTGGAATGGAATGAAAAATGTTTCCAAAACTAGCTGTGAAACACATTTATATTTTGACATTACCATTTTGCTATTGAAAACCCCCAAAAGGAGATCTTCAAGCATATATGGAGTGGAACATTTCCATTTCAGTTCAGTGGCATCCTGTACACACTGGGCACTGATGTCTGCCCAGGAGTTATCACACTGGCCACCCAAGCCTCCGCTGTAACACTTTTCCATCTCTAGATAAGCATCACGGTGTAAGAGATGCAAGAGCCTGAAGACTGGAGTACAAGTGCAGCTCTGCCACAAATTCTGCATCTTCATCTGAGTTCTCCTCCACTGCTGACACGTTCTGAGCCTGTAATACCATTCCCTCCACTCTGCCCCCACCACGTGCTCCAGTCTGGTTTTGTGGTGCACACCACTGGAGAGGCAATCCGGTTTGTGTCAACTTCCCTTCTCTGGGAATACTCCCTGATATGCAGGGATGCGCCCCTGGTGGTCACGTGTATGCTTTGTTGTGACTATATTTCCTGGACCATAACTGATTGATGCAGCACAGACACCTCTGCCGAAAGAAATCCAACAACCCTCTTTTATGGGGATTTAAAATGTCAATGGGGAGAGAGTCTGAAGGGCAGTGGGTCTCCAATGTCCTGAAGAAAGGGTTCACAAACTCCTGCCACTGAGGTCCCAAGAGCTGTGCCAATTCCTGCCTTTCTGAGACTTGTTCAATTTCATCCCCCATCCCATTTTTGTATACCTATCATCCTTCCAATAAATCACTCTTTGCTTAGTTTAACCAGACTCAGTTTCTGTTGCTCTCAACTAAAACAGTTAACAGATAATGATTCTATATTAAAATCTCTTAGAATTTCTTTTCTATATTTTTATTGGGTATTTATCATGTTAGCAGAGCCTGTAAACTTTAAGGGCTTCAAGAAATTTTTAAAAAATATTTCCCGGCCAGATGCGGTGGCTCACACCTGTAATACTAGCACTTTGGGAGGCCAAGGCGGGCGGATCACCTGAGGTCAGGAGTTTGAGACCAGCCTGACCAACATGGAGAAACCCCATTTCTACTAAAAATACAAAATTAGCCGGGCGTGGTGGTGCATGCCTGTAATCCCAGCTACTCGGGAGGCTGAGGCAGGAGAATTGCTTGAACCTGGGAGGCGGAGGTTGCGGTGAGTCAAGATCCTGCAACCACATTCCGGCCTGGGCAAAAAAGCAAGACTCTTTCTCAAAAAAAAAAAAAAAAAAAAGGTAAAATGACAAAGTCATGCACACACATGCTAATCTGGAAAGCTATAAATCAAACTGAAAACACTGGTTATCTTGTAGTGGAATGGCTGGCCACTTTGACTTTCTACTTTAAACATTTGGCCTATTTATTTATTTTAAAGAGACAGGGTCTCACTCTGTTGCTGCCCAAGCTGGAGTAGAGTGGCGTAACCATAGCTCACTGTAACCTCAAACTCCTGGGCTCATGTAATCCTCTCACTTCAGCCTCCAGAGTAGCTGAGACTATACAAGTGCCCGCCACCATACCTGGTTAATTTTTTTTTTTTTTTAGATGAGGTTTCCCTATGTTGCCCAGGCTGGTCTTGAACTCCTGGCCTCAAGGAATCCTCCCAGTTTGGCCTTCCAAAGTGCTGGAATTGCAGGCATAAGCCACCATGCCTGGCCCAGAACAAACTTATTCTTATGTCATGTTTGTGGCAACAAAAATTCAAAAAATAATGAGACTTCCAGGTTAGCTTTAATAGAGAGAGGCAAGCTAGTGCTTTCACAGTAACAACTAGATAAAACTAAATAGATTATTCAAATAAATAAATGGCTTTAAAGATTGAAGAGCTGTCTTCTATGCATAGCAAAGAGGACTAGCAGAATTAAAATTCCAGAGGGAGAAGAGGCCTCTCTAGGTGAGCTGAAAGTGCCAGCCATTTCCTCTCTCTACTTGTGGTACTTGTAGAGCTTTAGCGTGAGTGATGATAACTGGGGCTTGCCATAGGCAGAACTCCATCAAGAGAAAGAAAAACCAGCAGAACTTATGACAGCTATATGGGTTGGCATGACAGACTAAATTTCATAACAGCCCTAAATTTATGGCCAGTTTTCTACACAGGACATTCACCTCCAGGCTGGAGGCCTGAACTAGAAAACCAAAGTGAAATTAAGCACAATCTCACAGTGCTTAGCAGATAAAGCTAGAGGGAGTGGCCTGTAACAAACATACAACGGATCCCACTCTTGGGATACTACACCGAACTGAAGGACTTAAATCTTCAGCCCAGTCCAACTCAGTTGTTTGGATAGAGGTGTTTTATACCTCATTGTATCTGCCTAAGACTGCAAAATGCAAACATTAACTTTAGACTCTAAAGGTCTTTACACACATTGTCTAGAAATCGTCAAAAACTTCTGCTGCCTGGCGCAGTGGCTCACGTCTGTAGTTCCAGCATTTTGGGAGGCCGAGGCAGGCTGATCATGAGGTCAGGACTTCGAGACCAGCCTGACCAACATGGTGAAACCCTCTCTCTACTGAAAATACAAAAATTTGCCAGGCATGGTGGCGCACGCCCATAATCCCAGCTACTGGGGAGGCTGAGGCAGGAGAGCCGCTTGAACCCAGGAGGCAAAGGTTGCAGTGAGCCAAAACCGCGTGCCACTGCACTCCAGCCTGGGCAACAGAGCGAGACTCTGTCTCAAAAAACAACAACAACTTTTGCTTTCCCAGGAGGGAGGGGACTGTGTGTGTGTGTGTGTGTGTGTGTGTGTGTACAGAATACAGCAGTCTACATGTTCACCTTCTTGCATCAGCACTGCTGGCCTAGGGAATCTCTCACAACTTGATCATCCCTCCCTTTAATTTCACATGCCCAGAGAAGTGGAGATTTCTCATGTTCAATTTTTTAACATTTTCAAAACTACAAAAATAATTTTTCAACATTAAAGTCTCTTCTAGGAATCCAAAGCCCTATTCCACCGAGAAACTCAAAATCAACATAATCATTTCATTTTTTTTTCCACTCATTCTACAAATACTTAATTTCTATCTATATGTCAAGAACTGTACTCTAGGCTGGGCACAGGAGCTCACGCCTGTAATCCCAACACTTTGGGAGGCCAAGGCGGGAGGATTGCTTGGACCCAGGAGTTTAAAACCAGCCTGGACAACATAGTGAAACCCTATCTCTACACAACATTTTCAAAAGTTAGCCGGATGTGGTGGTGCATGAATGTAGTCCCAGCTACTGGGGAGGCTGAGATAGGAGGATCTCCTGAGCCCAGAAGGTTGAAGCTGCAGTGAGCCATGATGGCGCCACTGCACTCCAGCCTGGGTGATAGAACAAGACCCATCTCAAAAAAAAAAAAAATTGTACTCTATATTTCATGAAACAAATAAGAGGTAAGAGGTAATCCTTGTCTTCAAGAATTGTGCAGTATTTTGTTTGTTTGTTTTTTTAAGAGAAAATGGATGTAAATATAAAAGGAAGTAAGGAAATCATTTTAAAGAATATCACCTAAAGGAATTTATATTTAATATGTAAGACGAAAAACACATACAAAGTAATAAGCATTTCTCTTACAAATGTTTCTCAAGCTGTCTCTTCCTCCTCATTTGACTGACAAAATCAAGGAAAGTAGATTAAGCAATTTGTCAACAGTCATGGGAAAGCTAAATATCAAAGTTGGAACTAGAGTCCAATTATTTATAGGTTGGTGCAAAAGTAATTGCCATTAAATGGTTTCCGCCATTAAAAGTAATGGCAAAAGTAATTACTTTCAATGTCAAAAACCGCAATTACTTTTCCACCAATCAATACATTTTCCATTTGCCATTCCTTAGTTTATATTGCCTGAGATTTTCTTTTTTTATTTTATTAATTCCATGGCTTTCCAATGAATTGAGATTTTCTAAGAATCAAATTTTCCTTTAATTATTTCAGAGGTACTACAACTTAATCTGATTGTTTTAAAATAATCAGTGGCTTAATATTAGAATTTTACTGCAAATTCATCTTCCATACTTATTTTTGCTATTTAAATAATTAGCTATTTTTGTTATTCATGTTATTAGCTACACTTACATGGAGACAAATGGTTATATGGGTTTCCTCTACTAAGAAAATGGGTTTCTAGGAAATGAGGTTTCGCACCAACTAATTTAGTTGTCCTGGAAATAACCTGCTTGCCTATGTAAAAGTCAAGCTTATACAGGAGGCAATAAAGACACTACCCTTTAGCACAACCTGCAGAGCTCTCCAGCACATGGTGGACTGCAGTACAACCAGGATCACAAGCCCGGTTTCTCAGCCCAGCTTCTTGGCATTTGAAATCAATGTGAGAAAAGAGCAGAGGAAAGAGCTGACACGTTTCCCCTTCCTTGTAGCACCAACCGGCGTCTCACAGCTGAAGCCCTTGGTAAGACAATGGAGAGGGTGCCGCAAAAGTCACCACTGGCCCCACTGCCCTGTAGGGAGAGCTTAGGGAGAGGTGATGAAGCATATCAGAGTGTGCCAGACCCCAGGACCTTCTCTGGCCTCTTCCTACTTCTCACAAGCTCTCCCCTCACGCTAGTAAGAACATTCAGTAAACCGCTATTGTTTTAAACCACTTGCAAACCTGATACACTATAAATTAGGCTACGGGTTTCTTTAACAGCTTATGTGTCACCACAATCCATTTCTTACTTATGTCTGTAACATTATTTTAGGGAGCTAGTTTTTGTCAACCAGCAGAGTATGTATGAAATATGACACAGTAATTATCATCAAAAAAATAGAAATAAAACTGTATTCAACATCTAGCTTTATCAAAACTTAAGATTTAGCTTATATGCTTTAGATCTTTTTTCCATTAAATAAAACATTAAAGTTATTCATTCAATACTTATTGAGTCCCTGCTATGAGCTAGGCATGATCTGAGCACTAGAAATACACTCCTGTGAGAGAGGCAGACAACAGATAAGCAAATAGATATACTGTATCAGATCACACTGCTACAATCAGAATAAAATCGTGGAAAAAGAGCATTTTAAACAGGGTGGAGGTAAGGTGTAAGCAGATGGACTTGGAGTAGGGAAGAGAACTCTGTGAAAAAGCTTTCCAGGCTGAGGTAACTGTAAAGGCTAAAGCCCCAGGGACCCCAGGCGTGGTAGGTCACGCCTGTAATTCCAGCACTTTGGGAGGCTGAGACAGGAGAATCATTTGAACTTGGAGGCGGAGGTTGCAGTGAGCCGAGATCACATCACTGCACTCCAGCCTGGGTGACAGATTGAGGCTCCATCTCAAAATAATAATAATAATAATAATAATAATAATAATAATAATAATAAGGCCCCAGGGAGGGGTGCTTGATGGCAATGTGTTTGGGGAACATCAGAAAGCCCGGATTGGCTAGAAAGCAGTGACCTGGCAGGATATGAAGTCAGAGAGGGATGGGAAAGTTCATGGTGGGCCTTGTAAACCCCATTTTGTATTCTGTTATTAGTGACAGGAGGCCATCAGGACAGTGTCAAGATCTGACATGTTTAAGTAGTTCTCCAATCCTTTTAAGAAGTCTGTCCTGGGGAAATGCTATATTTCCTTTCCTCCTCAGAAGAATTGGGAATTTGGTGTTTATCATTCCCCTGTATTTTTAAATACTTTCACTATATAAACACATGGCCATAAACAATGTAGTATTCTCCTGCATGTATTAGTACTGCATTCCTTCAGTAGTATTGCTGAATAATATCCTTTTATATGGATATACCATATTTTATCTACTCATCAGTTGATAGACATTTGGATTGTTTCTACTTTTTGGCTATTATAAATAACGTGGGGCTAGACACAGTGGTTCACGCCTGTAATTCCAGCACTTTGGAAGTCCGAAGCGGATGGATCACTTAGGTCAGGAGTCTGAGACCAGCCTGACCAACATGGTGAAACCCCATCTCTACTAAAAATATAAAAAATTAGCTGGGCGTGGTGGCATGTGCCTGTAGTCCCAGCTACTCGGAAGGCGGAGGCAGGAGAACTGCTTGAACCAGTGGGGTGGAGGTTGCAGTGAGCCACACTGCACCCCAGCCTGGGCAACGGAGTGAGACTCTGTCTCAAAAAAAAAAAAATTTTGCCACTCATGGTGGCATATGCCTGCAGTCCCAGATACTTGGGAGGCTGAGGTGGGAGGATTGATTGAGCCCAGGAGGTGGAGGCTGCGGTGAGCCATGTCCTGCCAGCCTGGGTAACAGTAACACCCTGAATCAATCAATCAATCAATCAACAATGCTGCTATTATAATTAATATACAAGTTTCTGCAGGAACATATGTTTCATTTTTCTTGGGAGTAGAATTACTGGGCCACATGCTAACTCTATGTTTAACTGTTTCCTAAAGTGGCTGCATCATTTTATAATCCCACCAGCAATGTATCAGGATTCTAATTTCTCTATATCCTCATGAACACTTAATACCTGGTTTATTATTTTAGCAATCCTAGTGGTGTGAAATGGTATCTAACTGAGGTTTTGTTTTGTTTTGTTTTGTTGAGACAGAGTCTCACTGTCGCCCAAGCTGAAGTGCAGTGGCACCATCTTGGCTCACTGCAACTTCCACCTCCTGGGTTCAAGCGATTCTACTACCTCAGACTCCCAGAGTAGCTGGGATTATAGGCACACACCACCACACCCGGCTAATTTTTACATTTTTAGTAGAGACGGGGTTTCACCATGTTGGCCAGGCTGGTCTCAAACTCCTGACCTCAAGTGATCCGCCCATCTCGGCTTCCCAAAGTGCTGGGATTACAGGCGTGAGCCACGGTACCTGGTCATATACCTTATTATTTTTTAATTAAATAGAGATGGGGTCTCGCCACGTTGCCCAGGCTGATCTTGAACTCCTGGGCTCAAGCAATCCTTACACCTTGGCTTCCCTTAGTGCTGGGATTACAGGTATGAGCCACTGTGCCCAGCCCTTAATACCTATTTTTTGGAGTAAGACTGGATCACACCCATAGTATCAGTACAACCGCATATTTCACTGTACTTAGAAATTATCACAAAATAGTCTGCTACAGTGGCTGTAATCCCAGCACTTTGGTAGGCTGAAGCAGGAGGATGCTTGTGGTCAGGAGTCTGAGACCAGCCTGGGTGGCTGGGTGCGGTGGCTCACACCTATAATCTCAGCACTTCAGGAGGCCAAGGCAGGAGGATCGATTGTACCCAACAGTTTGAGATCAGCCTGGGCAACATAGTGAGACTCTGTCTCCCTCTCTCTCTGTCTCCCTCTCTCTTTATATATATATATTTTTATTTATTTTTGTTTGTTTGTTTAAGTAAAAAAGAGACTAGCCTGGGGAACATAGTAAGACCCATCTCTACAAAAAAAAAAAAAAAAAAAGGCCAGGCATGGTGGCTCAAGCCTGTAATTCCAGCACTTTGGGAGACTGAGGCAGGCGGATTACAAGGTCAGGAGAGCGAGACCATCCTGGCTAACATGGGGAAACCCTGTCTCTACTAAAAATACAAAAAAAAAAAAAAAATTAGCCGGGTGTGTTGGTGAGCACCTGTAGTCCCAGCTACTCGGGAGGCTGAGGCAGGAGAATGGTGTGAACCTGGGAAGTAGAGCTTGCAGTGAGCCAAGATCGCGCCACTGCACTCCAGCCTGGGTGACAGAGCAAGACTCTGTCTCAAAAAAAAAAATTAGCCCACTGTAGTGGTGCACACCTGTGGACCCAGCTACTTGGGAGGCTGAGATGGGAGGATCGCTTGAGCCCGAGAAGTTGAGGCCGCAGTAAGCTATGACTGTGCTACTGCAGGCCAGGCTGGAGCGAGACCCTATCTCGCCAAAAAAAAAAAAAAAAAGAAAGAAAAGAAATTAACGGAAAGTAGCAGATGGATTTACAATAGACCACATTAAAAAACAAACCTCCGGCTAGGCGTGGTGGCTCACGCCTGTAATCCCAGCACTTTGGGAGGCGGAGGCAGGTGGATCACCTGAGGTCAGGAGTTCGAGACCAGCCTGGCCAACACTGTGAAACCTTGTCTCTACTACAAATGCAAAAATCAGCCAGGCGTGGTGGCGCATGCCTGTAATCCCAGCTACTCAGGAGGCTGAGGCTGGAGAATCGCTTGAACCCGGGAGGTGGAGGCTGCAGTGAACTGAGATGGCGCCACTGCACTCCAGCCTGGGCGACAGAGTGAGACTCCGTCTCAAAAAAAAAAAAACCTAACGCAGAGATTATCTCAATGTTTTATGATCCCACATTAAACATGTATTATTTCTATAATGAGAAGTAAAAATTATTTTTTTAAAAAAGGAAGAATAGCTGCCTCAAGCTTTGCAATAAAAAGTAGTCTTAAAGACAAACTTAAGATAAATTTTCTAACAGTAAATGGGTCAAGAGCAAAGGACTTACTTTTTTATCGGTCACAAATTGTGAATTATATTACAGAAGCTTCTCAGAAACTACCCAGAAGGGAACTGACTTTGAGTCCACAAACCATTTATTTAATCAAGTATGGCACACCCACTCAGAATGCAAACAGTGCCTCTACCCATCCCTCTGAATTGCCTATTCTACCAATAAACACTGCTTCTTTCTTCCAAAAACTGAATCTAATTAAATCAACCAATTAACTGTCTTGCTCAAAGCGGTGCAAATTTCTATGGCACATGGGCAAACCCTAAAAAGTGGGCAAGTCTGACTTTTCTGAACATCCTAGTTCTAAAATACTATCTTAAGAACATAGCTGCTTACACATTTCCCAAGAATTCCTGTTAAAGAAAATTCCTGAGTATCTCAAATAACTCTGGAATTCTTCAGATGCAGCTATGTAAGAATCAAGATATGCTTCCCCTTAGAGTGAAAACTGAAATGAAAATCTTGTCCTCCAAGTTGTAAATTACATTATTTCTGAAAAGCCTTCAGGTATCTGAGGTATCTTATCAGGATCTGCTAAATCTAAATAGATATATGACTATTCTAACTATTTCTACTGTTCTAGCCTCATAACTATCGTCTCCTTTTCCTTAACTATCACATATAAACCCCCAGTTACTGTTTCTCCCTCAGTGGAAACAAAAGCTAGTAGCTATTTAGTAAACCAGCTTTATTAGTTATTTATTTGCCTCCTCCTAAGAAGCAAGACTAACACTTTGTTCTTTCTACTTTGCTTATTATTTAACATAAGAACACAACTTTTGCCCCAATTCCTTGAGATAGAATTTTTTATTCTGTAAGCCAGAGAGCTCTCATCCTTCTAATATCTCATTAAAACTACACCCAAAGGGAAAAAAGTTAGGGTCAAAACTGTCTCAAAGGTAGATAACTTTTTTTCTTTCACACTTATTAACTAACTCAGGAAAGTAAAAGGAAAACCTAAATCTCAAAACTTCTATAAAGAAATGGAAGCTCTTTTAAAAAGAGCTGTTAACGTGAAGTTTTAAAAACAAACACACAAACAAACTACTATATTTCAGGTGCAACCAAAACATGGCATTTATTTCATCAAATGTTAAATCCACAGGAAGAAATTTGGTAATTAAGATCATGGAATAATAATCCAATTTGCTATAGAGAAAAACTTGCTGCAAATCCCCTGGAGATCTTTAAAAACAGTACAGAATTTTCTATCAAGACTGATTTTAATAAACTCCTACAAAGAGATAAAGGACTGAATTAAATAAACTCCCAAAGGTTCTTTCCAATGCTAATGTAAAAGTTTCCCTCGGGCAAATTGCCACACCTTACCTCAAATAAAGGTTTGTGCTCCTCCCACTCATCTGAATAGCAGAGAGGAAAAATTACTGCTCTATTGTTCAACTGTTACTATTGTGAAAACTGTGTGTCTACTGTCATCACTAAACAGCAATGTGTGATTGTTTCATAACTCCTTAACACAGCATCTAGCTCATCAAATTCTAAACCCAAATCCAAGAGTTGTTCTTTTACTATACACATTCATTCATCTCTTCAAGCACAGAAACATACTCTTGAGAGTGTAAAGTGATCCTAGACGTTTCTGACTTCTCTCCTGTTCATTAAAAGACATGGTGGGAGATGTGAGGAAAAGAATTTACATCTCAACAATGTTATACTCTAAATTCATATTTTAGTAAAAGCATGACACACAGCTGTATGCGTATTTTTGATGGCACAGTTGGCAACATTTCCCCCCCAGAAAGAGGGGAAAGATAGGTAGAGGTTGGAGCACAAGCACATCGCTTTAATTAAAAATGAAAACAACTTTTAAAAAATGTTAAGATATTGTATTGCTCTCATGTAGTTACCAAGATCTCTCTTTTGTATAAGAAAGAAAAATATTCACAGACAATATTCCTCCATCTGAGAGTGTAGAAAGCTCCAGATCTGAAGTCTGTATTAAAAATACTGGTGAGAAGTAGTTTTCTAGAAGGGATACTGCAGCCCTCACAGCATTCCAACAGACCGTTCTTCCAAATGCCACCAATGTGCCTTGAGTGAAACTTTTACAAAACATGTCCCCAAAAGTCAACCAAATGTTATTCATACAGATTTTAAAATGTCATGTTAGTACCTTGATATTTCTTCACCTTATTAGTTGGCAAGCTCTGAAGAAATATCATTCTATAAATGCTAAATTGTTAGAGATTATGGGAGAAAGGTCCTTGATTTCCTACTAAATCTGAACATAACTCATAGGGATTGAAAGAAGCATTTGAACACAAAGCAACGCTGAAGTGTGAACACCTTTCTCTTGACTTCCTTTTTCATTTTAAAAAATCATACCGGCCAGGTGCAGTGGCTCACACCCGTAATCCCAGCACTCTGGGAGGCCGAGGCAGGCGGATCACGAGGTCAGGAAATCAAGACCATCCTGGCTAACACAGTGAAACCCCGTATCTACTAAAAATACAAAAAATTAGCCGGGCGTGGTGGCGGGTGCCTGTAGGCCCAGCTACTTGGGAGGCTGAGGCAGGAGAATGGCGTGAACCTGGGAGGTAGAGCTTGCAGTGAGCCGAGATCGCGCCACTGCACTCCAGCCTGGGCGACAGAGCGAGACTCCATCTCAAAAAAAACCAAAAAAACAAAAAAAATCATACCTCGGCCTGGTGCGCCTGTAATCCCAGCACTTTTGGAGGCCAAGGCAGGCCAATCACCTGAGGTCAGGAGTTCGAGACCAACCTGGCCAACATGGTGAAACCCCATCTCTAATAAAAATACAAAATTTAGCCGGGCGTGATGACGGGCGCCTGTAATCCCAGCTACTCGGGAGGCTGGGGCAGGAGAATCGCTTGAACCCAGGGGGTGGAGGCTGCAGTGAGCCGAGATCGCGCCATTGCACTCCAGCCTGGGTGACAAGAGCAAAACTGTCTGAAAAAAAAAAACAAAAACAAAAACAAAAAAAAAATCATACCTCAATGAAATTCACCTGCAAATGTATTTTCTAACTCCTACCCGTTAAATTTCCCTATTACATTCTATACCACAACAATTTTGTCTTATAAGTCGTTTACATTGCTAGGAAAACGACAAACTATTCCACTGCTTATAATGAGCTGACTGTTATCACTTCCTCCCTCACACAATTATTTCTTTAAAAGTGAAAACAAATCTTTTGATCTGTGTATTACTTCGCTTTGACACCTTACAACTTCAGGGGAGGTCAAGTCTGCTTTACTTATTTTTCCCCTCAACTCAGTCTCAATATCTCAACATGACCTGGAAAAATGCTTTATTTTCTGCTTCGCAGCAAACAGTAACAGACCTATCCATCATAACTACTCATCTGGGGAGTAGTTATGTTAAAGCCAAATTAAGATCACCATCCTATCAAACTGCAACAGTCACACTCCCGCTAAAGGGAAACAGAGTACTTTCTAAGCGTTCCTTAATATCTGTACAAGACTTAAACGTATTAAAGTCAACTGCAAAATTATCGCAACACTCTCTTCCAGGAACACCGATCTTGCATCTTTTTAACCAGCTCATCTTTAAAAACACATTTCAACAGAATATCTGTCAGTCCAGACCACTGTAAGGTTGATAATAAGCATTGTCTTGAATTTAGAACTTTTCAAAATATTTTAGAACTGCCTGAACTTGGTTGATGATTCAGCATGGTTAATTAGTATAGAGTCATCGCAAGTCACCACCAGGCTAAACAATCCCCTTGTGTGATAGCACTCGTGTTCAGGAAAGGGTCGAAGGGGCCACCTAATCCAACCTGGAGCCTGGGGTAGAGTCTCACCACCGGCAGAGTTAAGAGAATGATGCTTTCGAGGGACCAGCTTGGATTCCCTGCCAGATCTATGGACCAATGTCCTGGTTGGGGACTGAACGTGGTAGTCCAGAATGTGGTTGGGAGAGGCTGGGTGTGTTTCCATCTGACACCACCGCCTAATTTTCTTTGCTTCTTAAGGACCCCATGGGTGGTTTTCTTTGGACGACTGCAGGACTTTAAAAGGAAGCAATAACCTCAGGGGTTTGAGAAGGGACCCTCCGGAGCCCTTGGGCGGCTCCCACTGGAGTCCGAAGGGCCCCTCATCGCTTCCCCTGGGGACAGCACACACTTCTGGCAGAATGGGGCAGAGAAAAGTACCCGGAGCTCTGAGCAGAACCCAGAGCTCCGGGAGTAAGACCTCCAGGCGCGGAGAGGTGGGGAGCCCCCGAGCCGTCCTTGAGCCTCCAGGCTCGTGGAGGTCGGGCCAGCGGCCGGACACTGCCGCCCACACCTGCGAACGGCGCCCGCCCCGCGGATTGCCCAGCGGATGGCCCGGAGACCTCGCCCCGCCCGGCCGCCCCTCCGCCAGTCCACACCGCCACCCCGGCCCCGCCGCGCGGGCCCCTCGTACCTGGCCGGCGGCGGCTGCGGCTGCGGCTGCAGCGCTGCTCCTCACGTACCCGTTCCGTACTTCCCCGTTCGCCACGCAGCCATTCGCCCGCACCGTGCGGCGGCAGCAGCAGCCTCCGGGCTCCGGCCGCATCTTCCTGGCAGCACCAGGCGCAAGGCAGGCTCTGTAGGCGGTGGCAGCGGCGGCGGCTGCTCCAAGTCCCGCTCCGCACCCCACCCACCTCCCCGAAACCGGAAATGGCTGCAGCGCCGCCGCCAATTCCCGGGCGGGCCTTCACAGAGGGCGGGGCCCTCTCCGCAGAGGACCGGTCTCGGCCAAGGCCACGCAGCGAAGGGAAAAAGCGGCGGGGACCTGCCGAGAGGGATGTGGTCCTGAGGACCGCTGACCAATCTGGAAGAGAAGGAGGCGGACCCCATGCTGCTGCCTGGCCAATCACGGACGAGAGCAAAGCGCCTCGCCGGTGGAGAGGGGGCTTCTCTAGAGGGACTCCAGGGCCTGGCACCTGATTGGAGGCCGCATCCAGGTCCGGGGTAGGGCTTGCCTGTTTAATGGTCCAGACCGAGGAGGAGGCGGAGCCCAGGGAAAAGTAGCCAATTAGAGTGTGAGGAAATAAAAGGGGCTGAGCCGAAGTCTCTAGAGCGGGTTCCCAGGTTCTCCAGGACAGGTGGCGCCCTCTTTGCCCTTGCCTCGTGGGAAGTTTTGGAGTTTATGTCCTAGCCCAAGACAGGCAGCTCGCTTATTTAATTAGCTGATTCCTCTGTGAGTGTTTATAGAATAGATTTTTTGACAATCTCTCATCATTCTTCAATATGCGCCACACATTCACTATTTCTGAATTATTATAAGTAATAATTCAGATGCCTTTTCACGTGCCCTTCACATTTGCCCTTGGCAGGGTTTTCTATACAGTCTCCTTTAAATTAAGTCTTTCCTTCAAAGTTAGAAAACCTGGTCTAATTCCAACTCTGCCAATAACTGGAAGCTAAAACTTGAGCACTGTGTTTAACCACTTTAGAAGCCAAATTCTTTAAAATGGAGTTAATACTTCCTGCTTCATAGACTTACAGCAAGAATTATATCATTAACCCATTATGCACCTCTTATAATACTAGGCTTATAGTAGGAGTATAATAAATATTATTTTCTCACCCTTTTAGTTCCATCTTCCCATGGGGTTAGAAAGCAAGGAAATTGATCTACATTACAATTAGAGACTTTCTGTTATCCATAAAGAATTTAGTATCATAATTGAGAGTATGGACTCTGGAGTCGGTCTGGGTTTTAAATCCTAGCTGCGCCACTTACTAGCTGAGTGACCTCTATGTGTCTTCATCTGTTCAGTGGGGACAATAATAGTTGTCGTGAAGATTGAATAAGTTTATGTATGTAATGTATTTTGTACAGGACCTAGCAATTAGTAAGCATTCATTAAGTGTTGGTTACTAGTAATTGCTAAATGCACCTATGAGAATCCGTGCATTCTTTCCCCACCCTGCAGGAGCTTTAGAAAGGAGGTCCACAAGGTATTGGTTTTGCATGACTTAGGAGCTGAATAATCTAACAGAAGGTGGGATCATTCATCCCACACATCCTATTTGAGTTGACAAACACTATTGATCCCAAAGTGAATATACATCTGTATGTATAAGGCTAAAAAGGAAACATGTGGCTGTGCTTCATGGAGCTTACATTTCAGTGAGAGACAAGATATACACATAGAAAGAAAACAATAGTTAAAGACCAACCTAAGGCTGGAGAGATTAGGCAACAGGAGTTCTGATGAGGGAAGCTGAATGGCAGTGATGAGTCTAACCAGGTAGAAAGTTTTCAGGGCAGGAATCTGGATGGAAGCAGGGCTAAGGGATTTAACTGAAGCTTAGGGAGTGAGCTGAATGACTCTGGAGAAGGCTTGCGAGGAAGATGTGCAATGAGACAGATCTTGGAAGATGAGCGGGACTTGGAGAGCTGGAACTGAGAAGGATGGGGAGGGTGTTCTGAGGAAACCTTCAGAAACTCGGGTGTCGAGTCTAGAAAGATCAAAGCCTCACCTGCAGGCTAAGAGGAGTAAAGGAGTCTGGCTAGATTTGAGGAGTCCTGTTAGCCGATCCCTCCTCAGGGGGCTGGCCCCTTGTCTTGTTCCGCCACTTACTCACTATGTATAGTCTTGGACAAGTAATGCAAACTCAGCCCTGGTTTCCTCACTCATCTTACAAAGTGTGTACCTGTACTACTTACCTTACAGGCTTCTGTGAGCATCAGTGATATACAGATGATCTGATTACTTCACATGCCATTGCTAAATCACAAAAATGATGCTGCAGTAGGCAGTAGGAAACACCCCAGACTCCATGTAAACAGGAAAACAACTCCTTCCAGAAACATAAGCCGCTTAATCATCATTTTACAGTGTTCATATGCAAAGTTCTGTGCTAGGCACCAGGAAGACAACCCTTCTCTTCCTTCAAGATTGCTCAAACCACTTCAACTGTGAAGCCTGTTTTGAACCCCAACCTCCCCACAAAA
The DNA here is from genome assembly GCF_000001405.40 of Homo sapiens. Lineage (NCBI taxonomy): Eukaryota > Metazoa > Chordata > Mammalia > Primates > Hominidae > Homo > Homo sapiens. Next base: position 77,618,971 of record NC_000014.9, read on the forward strand.
TTAGTTGCTTTCTCCTCTGTGAGCTTTATACACACCTGTGTAAGCATGTATCACACTGCTTTGAGATTCTTTGAGAGGGAGGTTACACAATGCTTAGAAGCAAGAGCTCTGCAGTCAGATATACCATAATTGAAGACCGGTTTCAGCACCTAGAATCCTTATGATTTAGGCAAAGCTGCCTAACCTCTCTATGACTCAGGTACTTCTTCTGTAAAATGGGATATACCTCATAGAGTTGGAGAATTAACAAAAGCATTTAGTGCCAAGACCTGTTACATAATATTAAATGAGTGTTGGTAATTATTCATTGGATAAATGAAGTACTTATTAAGTGAATGAATGATTGATTGAATACATTTATACTTACAATTAGGCAACAAGCTTGGTGAGTTGAGGGGATTGTCTAATTTATCTTTGGGTTCCCAGTACCTACCACGTGTCTGTCACATAGCAAATGCTCAATAAATGTTTGATGAATGCATAAATGGATAAATGAATTAAAATTTGGCCTTGGCTGGACATGGTGGCTCACACTTGTAATCTCAGCACTTTGGGAGGCCGAGGTAGATGGATCACGTGAGGCCAGGAGTTCGAGACCAGCCTGACCAACATGGTGAAACCCCGTCTCTCCAGAAAATACAAAAATTAGCCGGGCGTAGTGGCACATGCCTGTAATCTCAGCTACTTGGAGGCTGAGGCACAAGACTTGCTTGAACTTGGGAGGCAGAGGTTACAGTGAGCCGAGATTGTGCCACTGCACTTTAGCCTGGGTGACAGAGAGAGACTCTGTCTCAAAAAAAAAAAAAAAAAAAAATTTTGGCCTTGTCTCCAAGGAACCTTCTATCACATGGAGACTGTGTTAATTGAGGTTCTTTGGTTGCAGATAACATAAGCCAATTTTAAAAAACTTATTCAAGAAAGGTAAATTTATTGGAACTCTCCTGAAGACAGGGAAGTGTTGGCACTCAGGAAAATCCTAAACCTCAGCAGCAGAAAATTATAGACCTTCCTTCCTCCTAACCAAACCACTTCTGGTGCTTAGCTCTCAACAACCTACAACTTTCATATTCATGAGGTCAAACTTCTACACTCTCAGGAAAAAGAAATCTGATTGGCCTAGCTTATGGTGAGGATGGGTAAATCTGACCAATCGCAATGGCCAGAGCACAAGGTCAAACTGCTGGAGGGGAGGAATCAGTTATAGACAAGGAAGAATCATAGCAGAGAAGGGAGGAACAACCCTAACAGTGTTCACTACAAGGAGATAGAACCCGGGAGTGAAAAGGACAAATAGCAATAGCTTAGAATGGATGTTAAAGAAGGAGGCTGGCGGGTGCAGTGGCTCACACCTATAATCCCAGCACTTTGGGAGGCCGAGGGGGTCGGATCACCTGAGGTCAGGAGCTCGAGACCAGACTGGCGAACATGGTGAAACCCCCATCTCTACTAAAAATACAAAAATATTATCCAGCGTGGTGGCGGGCGGGAGGCTGAGGCAGGAGAATCGCTTGAACCCGCGAGGTGGAGGTTGCAGTGAGCCGAGATCGCGCCATTGCACTCCAGCCTGGGCAATAAGAGCAAAACTCCGTCTCAAAAACAAAAACAAACAAACAAAAAACCCAAACAAGTAGCCAAGCCTCAGGCAATCACAGAAGCCATACTTCAACCACTCAACAGGCAGCCAACTGTTCAGTGTTCAAATAAGGCAAATGCCAAGCTATAACCATTCCAACTGTTTCTGTGTCTCACTTCTGTTTTCTGTATGTTGCTTTCCTTTTTCTATTCATAAATCCTGTCTCACCATGTGACAGTGCTGGAATCTCTCTGAACCTTCTGATTCTGGATGGGGGCTGCCCAATTTGAGGATCATTATTTGCTCAGTTAAATTCTGTTAAATTTAATTTATTTCTTTTTTTCTTTTCTTTTCTTTTCTTTTCTTTTTTTTTTTTTTTTAGGATGGAGTTTCGCTCCTGTTGCCCAGGCTGAAGCGCAATGGCACGATGTCGGCTCACTGCAACCTCTGCCTCTTGGGTTCAAGTGATTCTTCTGCCTTAGCCTCCCAAGTAGCTGGGATTACAGGCTCCCGCCGCCACACCTGGCTAATTTTTGTATTTTTAATAGAGACAGGGTTTCACCACATTGGCCAGGCTGGTCTTGAACTCCTGATTTCAGGCGATCCACCCACCTAGGCCTCCTAAAGTGCTAGGATTACAGGCGCGAGCCACTGTGCCCGGTCTAAATTTAATTTCTTTGAATTTTTTCTCTTAGCAACACCCCTGCCAAAATAAATGACTTCTAACTACCCCTTCCATTGTTGGGTCACTTGGTCAAGAGTCAAATACTGGAGAGAATATCTGCTTGTTTGAGTTTACGTCGCACTGGTCCTAAAAGGTGCAAACAAAAGGAAAAAGTGTCCTTCACCTTTCATGATGGGAGGTGCTTACCAAGACACACCCTCTTAAGAAGAGTACGTTAAATGAGAAGAGATGATTTCCCAAAGGGAAATGGGGGACTTAATAGAAAAAGGGAATGGACACTGGGCAGGCAGAAATGGCCAATGTCCTTTATATCAGTCAAGGCTGCAGATGAATCACAAGATAGAGTTGTGTATTGTGGTAGGCACATGTAATCTTAGCTCTTCAGGAGGCTGAGGCAGGAGGAACACATGAGCGCAGGAGTTCAAGACCAGCCTGGGCAGCATAGCAAGACCCCATCTCAAGAAAAAAGAAAAAAAAGAAGAACCACAAGATGGAATGGAAAGGGCCCTTCAGAAGTAATCTGCTTTTGCACAAAAACCAGAGATAGATGATGCAGAGGTATTATTTGAACCTGACTCTGAGAGCATCATTTGGTCTTCCCTTTTCTTTTTCTTTCTTTCTTTTCTTTTTTTTCTTTTTTGAGATGGAACTTCACTCTGTTGCCCAGGCTGGAGTGTAGTGGTGTGATCTGAGCTCACTGCAATCTCTGCCTTCTGGGTTTGAGCGATTCTTGTATCTCCCAAGTAGCTGGAATTACAGGTGCATGCTACCATGCCCAGCTAATTTTTGTATTTTTAGTAGAGACGGGGTTTTGCCATCCTGGCCAGGCTGGTCTTGAACTCCTGACCTCAAGTGATCCACCCACCTTGGCTTCCCAAAGTGTTGGGATTACAAACATGAGCCACCATGCCTGGCCTGGTCTTCCCTTTTCAAACTTTTCTTGCTTCATTCATTCATTTATCTATTAGGCCAATCACACAAGTATTTTTTGCTGGCCATCATGTTGGGTACTGCAAATACAATGACAAATAGAAAGAAACATGGTATTTGCACTTGTAGAGCTTTCAGTCTTGATTTACAAGAAATGCGTCTGCTCTTTCCCCTTTCATTATTCCTAATCTAATAGAGTAAGTGAAATAGACTAATTCTCTCCCTGGGTTTCTGATCCTACTTTTGTGGAAAATCTTGGATGCTGTTTTTGGACTATTTTCAGTGGCAATATTTGCATCCACAAAACTGGGCAGGTCCTGGGACAAGAGTTTAGAATTGCATTATGACCCTGAGGCCTGAGCTATTTAAATGAATGTTTGCATGCAAACATGAAGCTTTAAGAGGAATGATGGTTTCTGATTATACACCTCCAGGGTGCCAGCTAAGCACTTAGTAGAGATTTTAATCTGTACCCAACAAAGCGTTTGCAATGGGAGTTCTGCAATAATACAGATGAGTGCTCCAGGAATGGGCAGCCAGAGCTTATGTCTCAATGGCAGGTCTCTGCCCTTGAGTTACCTCTGCTCCAGAAGCACCTGAGAGCTTCCTCCACCACACCCCACACTGCCACCCTGGACTTCCTCTGGGCACTCACCTGGCTGAATGTTGCAATCATTTCAGGTTCTGCTCCAGGAAGCAAGTGGACTTTTACTTCTGGCTTCAAGAGGGAGGAGAGGAGATGGTGATGCAGATTAATGGTGGTGGTGTTAGCCAAGACTCTGAGTTGCAAGTTTTGAAACTGAATTTAAATTGAATTAAGCATAAAGATGATTTATTGACTCACATAACCAAAAACTAAGGGTAGATCTGATTGGATCTAGGTACTCAAGCGATATCATCAGAAATCCATCTCCAAAAAAAAAAAAAAAAAGAAATCTGTCTCCATCTCTGGCTTGGGGTCCCTCTGAATTAGCTTTATTCCCAGAAAGGCTGCCAGCATGTGATGGCAAAGATGGCTTGTGGTGGGCAAGCTTCCATTCAATCAGCTTTAAAACTTCAGCTGAAAGACACTGCCTGTTTTCTGTAGTCTTCTCGAGATTCCTAAGTAGACTTCTGTTGGCCCAGCTTGGGTCACATGCATCAGGTGACTGTTGAATTGATTGGCCAGGCCTGAATCTTCTGCCCACCCACTCCACCAATTCTGAGCCACAGGCTCAGAGAAGGGGAGACTATTGGTTTTCCTCTGGGAGAAGATGGGTGCTGTTGCCAGAAAAAAGGGTGCTGAGTAGGCATAAGCCACAGATGTCCATTGCACTGATCATGTTAAATATGATGACAACAGTAAGAAGCAGGAAGTGGGAATGCCTTGGAGAGTCTCAACATTTTCAGATGATATTACAAGAAAGACTGCATTTAGACTCTCCCTCCTCCACAAATCTGACCTACAAAAGTTATCTCAAATTAATCCCTCCCTATGGTAACTGTCTGTTCTGTGTGTTTATTTAACTGATTTAAGTGATTGATATCTTCATCTTCATCAAATCATTATCCTAAAGCCATTAATAAACATTCTTTGTATATGTAGCTGTATAAGAAAAACAGAAATACAGACAGAGCATTAACTCTCTAAGAGAGCAATAAAGGGTGGGGCACAGTGGCTCAGGCCTGTAATCCCAGCACTTTGGGACACCAAGGTGGGTGGATCACCTGAGGACAGGAGTTCAAGACCAGCCTGGGCAACATGGTGAAACCTCATCTCTACTAAAAAAAAAAAAATTAGCCAGGCATGGTGGCGCACACCTGTAATCCCAGCTACTAAGGAGGCTGAGGCAGGAGAATCACTTGAAGTGGGGAGGCAGAGGTTGCAGTGAGCTGTGATGGTGTGACTGCACTCCAGCCTAGGCAACAGAGTGAGACTGTCTCAAAAAAAAAAAAGGAGCAATAAAGGACTCATAAGACAACACACCACCAACTCTGAATATTATATATTGTGAACTCAGAATGGCGAAAATTGAATTGTACTGAATGTGAAGTATATCTCAATTAAAAAAACAAAAAAAATTGCCTTTTTAAAAAAAGAAGACATAAATAAGAAGTTGCATATGTTCCTAGGCAATGTGACATACGCATTCAATGGTGTGATGGAATTTGCATATTTAAACAGAATAGGTGAAAGGTAAAGCTGTCATTCTTTTCCACTTCATCATAGAACCCTTAGAAGATTTAGCTATTGTCGCCATCACTTTCTTTATATTTACTGTGCAATGTTACATATTCATGGACAACATAACTTCTTTTAAAATGGTCTTTGGGGTTCTTCCTCTACCCTCAATATTTTGCTAACTTTTTCTCACATTTTTTCTCTATCGTGTACCACTTCCAACACCAATAATTTTTGGTGCCTAATATCTTGGGGGGCCATTTTAACCTATATCTAGAAGAAGACTATTCTGTTGTTTATGCTCCCAATGACTCTAAAGCCACATGACAGCTTCCTTCAATGAATGTCCCAAAAAGTATGGGAATTAGAATAGGCAATGGGAATGCAACAGGGATGCCCAAAAGAGTTGACAGGGAAAGAACTTTTTTTTTTCTTTCAGACAAAATCTCACTCAGTTGCTCAGGCTGGAGTGCAGTGGCACAGTCTCGGCTCACTGCAGCCTCCACCTCCTGGGTTCTAGTGATTCTCCTGCCTCAGCCTCCTGGGTAGCTGGGATTACAGGCACTCGCCACCACGGCTGGCTAATTTTTGTATTTTTAGTAGAGATGAGGTTTCACCATGCTGGCCAGGCTGGTCTTGAACTCCTGACCTCAGGGGATCCGCCTGCCTCGGCCTCCCAAAGTGCTAGGATTACAGGCATGAGCCACCCCTCCTGGCCAGGAACTTTCTTCTATTGACATTTGAACATTTCAAAATATAGTACATTTCTCTTTTATATCAACAGCATATTTTAAGGCATAAATGACAACTTTAGAGTCATCTTTTATTTTAATCCAAACCAGCCTTTCCCATGCTGACCGCCCCATCCTTATCTACCGGTCCATATTCTGCATTTCAGGTGGTTGCTTCTCCAGCAACTTTTCCACACTTCCTTCACTGGTGAGCAGTCATTTATTAGAGGGTTGACTATTTCCCAGTCCCTGACAACAGGGAGTGGTTCATGGACAGACACAAGAGCGTAGTTGATTCAATCATGCTTAAGACTTGAGATTTTGGTTCAATGACTGGGGGAAGGAAACGTATCTGTTTTCCCAGAAGGTGTGGTATGTGAATGTGAGACCTACAACTGCTACAGCCATTTGGTTACCACGAGAAAAACCCCACTAAGAATAAAAGCAACATCAGGAAGTGAGCAGAGAAGCTCACAGACACATGGAGCTGGTGCTCTGATCAAACTACGCATGAGGCCCACACTAGACATTTCAATTATGCTGAGTCAAGAAATTCTCTTTAGTTGTTTATGCAGGTTGAAGTTTTGTGTTTTTTAAAAATTGGAACTTAAAGCACCTTAACTGTTACAATCCTTCAGTACAATATTTTTCACAGCATTATTGAAGTATAATTAATAGTAAGTAAACTGCATATATTCAAGTGTATGATTTGATGAGTTTTGACATATATATATCTACCTGTGAAATCATCTCCACAATCAGAATGATGAACATATCCATCATCCTCAAAAGATTCCTGGTGTCCTTTTGGAATCCCTCTCCTCCTTCACTGTTCTTCCAGACTTCCTGTCTTATAGACTAGTTAACATTCTCAAAAATGTTATATAAATGAAATAATGTAGTATATTCTTTCTTTGGCTTTTTTCATTCAGCATAATATTTTGAGATTCATTCATGTTGTTGCTTGTATCTTTCTTCCTTTTTGTTGCTGAGTAGTTTTTTTTCTTTTTTTTTTTCTTTGAGACAGAGTCTGGCTCTGTCACCCAGGCTGGAGTGCAGTGGCGTGGTCTCGGCTCACTGCCAGCTCCGCCTCCCGGGTTCGCACCATTCTCCTGCCTCAGCCTCCCGAGTAGCTGGGACTACAGGCACCCGCCACCATGCCTGGCTAATTTTTGTATTTTTAGTAGAGACGGAGTTTCACCGTGTTAGTCAGGATGGTATCGATCTCCTGACCTTGTGATCCGCCCGCCTCGGCTTCCCAAAGTGCTGGGATTACAGGCGTGAGCTACCGCGCCTGGCTGTTGTCGAGTAGTTTTAATTGTATGGATGCACAGTTTATTTATCCATCCACCTATGATGGACATTTGAATTGTTTCTAGTTTGGAGCTATTACAAATAAAGTTGCTATAAATATGTGTATACAAATCCTTGTGTGGACATAAACTTTCATTTCTCTTGGTTAAATACTTAGGAGTAGGCCAGGCACAGTGGCTCACGCCTGTAATCCCAGCATTTTGGGAGGCTAAGGCGGGTGGATCACAAGGTCAGGAGATCAAGACCATCACGGTCAACATGGTAAAACCCTGTCTCTACTAAAAATACAAAAATTATCTGGGTGTGGTGGCACGCACCTGTAATCCCAGCTACTCAGGAGGCTGAGGCAGGAGAATTGCTTGAACCTGGGAGGCGGAGATTGCAGTGAGCCAAGATTGTGCCACTTCACTCTAGCCTGGGCAACAGAGCAAGGCTCCACCTCAAAAAAAAAAAAAAAAAAGAAAAGAAAAAGAAAATTTTAGGGAAGGTGAACAGGATGAGCAGTGACCAAGAAATAAAACAACCTCAAAGTAGGCAGACAGCACACCACTCCTGAGCAGAGTCCTAGAGGGGTAGTCCACTTTCTGCAGTCCCATAATGAGATTATAGCACTCAATATGTGCCATTTTATATTCAAGCTATTTGTGTACCTGTTTGTGTTTGTTTTCTCACACACTAAGTAGGAACTAGTGAAACATGCTCAGTTATTCCTGTGAGGTTATTTATGTATCTTTTCTTTTCATGTATTAGGTTCATACAAAAGTATTTGCGGTCGTTGCCATTACTTTCAGATGCAAAAACCACAATTACGTTTGCACGAACCTGATATTTGTATCCCAAGGAATCAGACCCGAAAATCTTGTGTTCAGGTTGTAAATGGTTCAATGTCTTCCTGCCTTTTGGTACTTCCCAGTTTTTTAAATGAGGTATCTATTTATAATTACAATAATTAAAAACCTCAAGTTGACAGAGTGAGACTGTAGGTTGTTTTAATATCCAAAAACAATGTCATCTTAATAGAATTAAGGACAAAAACTACATAGTCATTTAACAGACACAAAAAAGGCATTTGATTAAAAAACTAACACTTCTTTGTGATAAAAGTCCTCAACACACTAGGAGTAGAAGAGGAGTTCCTCAATCTGACAAAGGACATTTACAAAATATGTACAGCTAACATTATTCTAAATGGTAAAACACTGAATGCTTTCTTCTAAGATTAGGAAGAACACAAGGATGATCACTTTCACCACTCCTATTCAACATTATACTAGGCTAGTAAGGAAGAAAGTAAAATAAGAAGCTTCCAGATTAAAAAAGAAGTGAAATGATCTCTACTCACAGATGACGTAATCTTTTACATGGACTATCCCAAAGAATCTACTGAAAGAATGATTAGAACTAATAAACAATTTAAACAGGTTAAAGGATACAAGATTAATATACAAAAAGGAGTTATATTTATATTTATATTTTTTATTTTTATTTTATTTTAGTTTTTGAGATGGAGTTTTACTCTTGTTGCCCAGGCTGGAGTGCAATGGCATGATCTCAGCTCACTGCAACCTCCGCCTCCCGGGTCCAAGCAATTCTCCTGCCTCAGCCTCTGAGTAGCTGGGATTACACGTGCACACCACCACACCCAGAAAATTTTTGTATTTTTAGTAGAGACGGGGGTTTCACCATGTTGGCCAGGCTGGTCTTGAACTCCTAATCTCAGGTGATCCACCCGCCTTGGCCTCCAAAAGTGCTAGGATTATAGGCATGAGCCACAGTGCCCAGCCAAGAGTTATATTTTTATATACTAACGATAAACATTCTGAAAATGAAAGTAAGAAAACAATCCAATTAGCAATAGCATCAAACATAATAAAATAGGAAAAAATTAACAAAAGAGTGCAAGATTTGTGTACTGGAAAGTATAAAACATTGTTGAAAAATTAAAGGGGATCTAGGCTGGGCGTGGTCGCTCACGCCTGTAATCCCAGCACTTTGGGGGGCCGAGGTGGGCAGATAACGAGGTCAAGAGATCAAGACCATCCTGGCTTACACGGTGAAACCCTGTCTCTACTAAAAATACAAAAAAAATTAGCCAGACGTGGTGGCAGGTGCCCATAGTCTCAGCTACTTGGGAGGCTGAGGCAGAAGAATGGCGTGAACCTGGGAGGCAAAGCTTGCAGTGAACCGAGACTGAGCCACTGCACTCCAGCTGCGCGACAGAGCGAGACTCCATCTCAAAAAAAAAAAAAGAAAGAAAGAAAAAGAAAGAAAGAAAAATTAAAGGAGATCTAAATAATGGAAAAACATCCCATGTTCAGTGATTGGAAGACTTAATATTGTAAGATGGCAATACTACCCAAATTGATCTACAGATTCAGTGAAATCTGTATCTAAACCAACCCGCCTTTTTTGTAGACATTGCTGATCCTAAAATTTATACAGAAATGTGGGACCCAGAATAGCCAAAAGAATCTTGATTAAAAAAAAGAATAAAGTTAGAGAATTCACACTTTCCAATTTCAAAACTGACTATACAGCTCTATACAGCTGAAGTAATTAAGACAGTATGCTATTGGCATAAAGACAGACATATAGATCAATGTAATAAAATTGAGAATCCAGAAATAAACCCTAAGATTTATAATCAACTGGTTTTGGACAAGAATGCCAAGAAAATTAAAGGAGACAATGAATGATCTTAATTGCAAATGGTGCTTGTAAAACTGGATCACTACAAGCAAGAATAAAGTTAGACCCCTACCTCACACCATATACAAAAAAACTAAGTTAAAATGGATCAAAGACCTACATGTAAGAGCTAAAACTTTAAAATCCTTAGAAGAAAACGTAGGTATGAATCTTCATGACTGTGGATTGGACAATAGTTTTGAGATATTTCACCAGAAGCATAAACATCCAAAGAAAAGATAGATAAATTGGACTTCATTAAAATGAAAAAAAAATTTTTTTTCAAGGGACACCATCAAAAAATGAAACAATAACCCAGAGAATGGGAGAAAATTTTTGCAAATCATATATCTGTTAAGAGTCTTGTATCTGGGGCCGGGTGTGGTGGCTCATGCCTGTAAACCCAGCACTTTGGAAGGCTGAGGTGGGTGGATCATGAGATCAGGAGATCCAGACCATCCTGGCCAACGTGGTGAAACCCAGTCTCTATTAAAAATACAAAAATTAGCCAGGCACAGTGGCAGGCGCCTGTAGTTCCAGCTACTCAGGAGGCTGAGGCAGGAGAATGGCATGAACCCAGGAGGCAGAGCTTGCAGCGAGCCGAGATCATGCCACTGCACTCCAGTCTGGGTGACAGAGCGAGACTCTGTCTCAATAAAAGAAAGAGTCTTGTATCCAGGATACACAAAAACTCTTATAATACTTAATAATAAAAGGATAAATAACACCATTTTTAAATGCGCAAAAGAATTGAATAGACATTACACCAAAGAAGATATGCAAAAGGAATAGAAGGAGGGAAGGAGGATGAAAAAGGAAGGCATTGATATGATTATGATATTTTGGGGGTTCAAAAGGACCAAATAAATAACACTTCCTTCCTCACCATGCTAGCAGTGGCAAATCCAAATGAGTCTGTAGCAACCTCAATTCTTGCCTCCTCAGAAGAAAGAATTTGAGCAAGGGGCATAAGGCAGAGGGAGAGACTGAGGCATGTTTTAGGGCAGGAGTGAAAGTTTATTAAAAAGTTTTAGAGCAGGAATAAAAAGAAGTAAAGTACACTTGGAAGAGGGCAAAGTGGGCAACTTGAGAGATTCAAGTGCGCAATTTGACCTTTGACTTGGAGTCTTATATGTTAGCATGCTTCCAGGGTTGAGTTACATCTCCCCTGATTCTTCCCTTGGGGTGAGCCATCCACATTGCAGTGGCCTGCTAGCACCTGGGAGGGGCCAAATGCACACTGTATTTACTGAAGTTACATACATGCTCACTTGAGGTGTTCCTCTCTTACCAGTTGGGTGTTCCTAGAAGAAGGTCATATAGCAATTAAAGTCTGCCATTTTGCCTCTTAGTGCACAAGCTTGAGTCCACTCGCCCAACTCCTGAGATCTTATCAGGAAGCTGCTGATCACCAGTTTCTGGTGTTTCTATCTATTGGGAAACTGTCTTTCCCTGGTGCTGGCCTGCCACCACACTTGTCTAATATATATATATATACATATATATATATATATTTTTTTTTTTTTTTTTGCAATGGAGTCTTGCTCTGTTGCCTAGGCTGGAGTGCAATGGTGTGATCTCAGCTCACTGCAACCTCTGCCTCCCAGGCTCAAGTGATTCTCCTGCCTCAGCCTCCCAAGTAGCTGGGATTACAGGCACCCACCACCACGCCTATCTAAGTTTTATATTTTTTAGTAGAGAAGGGGTTTTATCATGTTGGTCAGGCTGGTCTCAAACTACTGACCTCAGGTGATCCACCTGCCTCAGCCTCCCAAAGTGTTTGGATTACAGGCGTGAGCCACCGCACCCAGCCCAGAATTAGAATATTGATCAAGATTTTTGCATTACCCATTCCTCTGTGTTTTTCTGAGCTGCAGCCAGAGATCACTGGTTGGTTCATAGGAATAAGCAGTGTTAAACTAAATTACAGACAAAAACTCAAAAGCAACTGATGACCCTAGAATATAATAAAAGGTGTACCATAGTTCTTGAAACATAATTTTTCTCTCTTCAGTTCTCATTTTCATTAATAACATATCATGATAGGACTGATTTCTTTGCAAAATAAGCTTTAGTCTTTTATACTTGGCCAGATTATTTGCACAAAGCACAGCAAGAATAATTATTTGACATACAGGCTCCTTTTTAAATTGGCTTTGATGGAACTTCATTCCATAAGGAATCTCACATATGACTTTTTTTTTTTTTTTTTTTTTTTTTTTGAGACAGAATCTCACTCTGTCACCCAGGCTGGAGTGCAGTGGAAAGATCTTGTCTCACTGCAACCTCTGCCTCCCATGCTCAAGCAATTCTTGTGCCTCAGCCTCCCGAGTATCTGGGACTACAGGTGTGTACCACCATGCCCAGCTAATTTTTGTATTTTTAGTAGACAAGCAGGTTTTGCCATGTTGGCCAGGCTGGTCTCAAACTCCTGACCTCAAGTGATCCGCCTGCCTTGGCCTCCCAAAATGCTGGGATTACAGGTGTGAGCCACTGTGCCTGGACTCAGATAAGACTTTTCAAAGCGTTACTCCCAGCCATGGGTTGATGCCAGTAAATACCTGTATGAGTTGGGTAAATTTCTCTCCTCTTGAGATTGCAAGATAATTTGGGGCTCCTGGGCCTGTTAGAAAGTGATATTCTTTACTTACCACAGGTCAAGAATCCTATACAGGGACTGTGTAGACAAGGTATGAGGTCTGTTTTACCAAGGAGCTTTATTGGTTCTATAAGTCAATTTTGATTCCTTAAAGGAAAGCATGACATTTCAGTCAAAGCCTTGATAAAATAACTAGTTTCTCCAATTGTGTCCTGTTGCAAAAGAAGCATATTCTTACTGCACTTATATAAATAATCATATTGCCATAAGTTAAGAATACTCACAAATCATTTCCAAATTCTGGAGAAATCAGGTAGAGAGAAACAAATATCCTCCAAATTTTGTTTACAGGAGTACTCAATTTTAAAAGCTGTAAATAGCTCAAAAGAACAGCTTTCTTGACTTTGAAAAACAAAGGATTAGCAATGTTTTAAGCAAAAAGGTAAAAAAGATTACTTCAGTCAATTAATTCCAGTTTTGCTTGACATTTATGAACACATTAGTTTTCCAAGACAATCTTGAAAGTTCTTTCTTCTTCATTTTAATGTTAAAATCTCCAAAGAGCACCTGTTCTATAGCTTATTATAAAACCACCTTTTTTTTTTAGATAAGATCTCATTCTGTAGCCAATGCTGGAGTGCAGTGGTGTGATCTCAGCTCACTGCAAACTGCAACATCTGATTCCCAGGATCAAGCCATCCATCCACCTCAGCCTCCTGAGTAGCTGGGACTACAGGCACCCACCAGCACATCTAGCTAATTTGTTTATGATTTCGTAGAGATGGGGTTTCACCATGTTGCCCAGGCTGGTCTCAAGCTCCTGCACTCAAGTGGTCCTCCTGCCTCAGTCTCCCAAAGTGCTGGGATTACAGGCATAAGCCACCATGCCCAGCCTGTAAAACCACCTTTTAAAAAGAGTTAAAACAAGACAATGATTGTCTGTGGATGACAAAAAGTCTTAAGGCCACCACAGTCAAAGACACAATTGACAAGGAAATGTGTTACCTCTGTGGTATGCAATAATTTAACATAACAATTACAATTATTACTGATAGCATATACTAAGTTATATCAGAATTACAGGAGTTTCACACAGTTTTGGAACACATACCAACAACCTATTTATACAAATACAGTTCAAAGAAAGCCAAATTTTACCTTTGCATTAGAGTACTATTGATGTTAAACCCAATTCTTAATAAAACCTCATAGACAAATCTATCCAATCTTAATTCATTTAACCATAGGTAAGATTCTCATAAAACTTTTATGACCCTTTATAGTTTTCTGTTAAAGAGCAGAACAATGCTCTAAGAAAACTATGTTATGCTTTTATTCCAATGTTCAATTTATGGATAAACTGAATAATATACCCCTTTAATTTTAGCCAATATGTTCACATACAGATTAATCTTTTGCAATCCTTCCACAATTTGCTCAAACCTTTGGCTTTATTTCAACTTAAAACTATCCTTTAACCCTCTAAACGAAGCAAAAAAAATTCACATTCTCATGCCTTCTCTTTTTTGTATTACTTATTTTGTTTTGTTTTGTTTTGCTTTTTTGAGGCAGGGTCTTGCTCTGTTGCCCAGGCTGGAGTGCAGTGGCATGATCTCAGCTCACTACAACCTCCGCTTCCCAAGTTCAAGTGATTCTCCTTCCTCAGCCCCCCGAGTAGCTGGAATTAAGGGTGTGTGCCACCATGCCTGGCTAATTCTTTGTATTTTTAGTAGAGATGAGGTTTCACCACGTTGCCCAGCTTGGTCTTGAACTCCTGACCTCAAGTAATCCACCTGCCTTGGCCTCTCAAAAGTCTAGGATTACATGCATGAGCCACTGCACCTGGCTTTCATGCCTTCTTGTAATCTTTTACCAAAAGCACATTCTACTTTTCTTATACACCTTGCATGGAAAACTGTTTTCTCCAGTAGTCTCAAGTGAATGTTACACAGTTAACTCTTTTTTTTTTCTTTTATTTTTGAGACAGAGTCTCACTCCATCACCCAAGCTGGAGTGTCATGGCATGATCTCAGCTGATTGCAACCTCTACCTCCCAGGTTCAAGCGATTCTCCTGCCTCAGTCTCCTGAGTAGCTGGGGCTACAGGTGCATGCCACCAGGCCCAGCTAATTTTTGTATTTTTAGTAGAGACAGGGTTTCACCATATTGGCCTACACTGTTAACTCCTAGCAACATTTACTTTTTATGAAAAACCTGGTAAGAAAACAATTCTAATTATGTACTAGCTTTGGAGTCTAGGACACTAGACGGAAGTGCAGATAAGGTCTGACTTTTTCCAGCATAGTTAGGGGGCATGACTAACTCTGTATGTGCCCAGGCCTTACCTAGAATTTAATGGCTTTTTTTTTTTTTGAGATGGAGTCTCACACTGTCACCCAGGCTGGAGTGCAGTGGCACGATCTCGGCTCACTGCAACCTCTGCCTCCCAGGCTCAAGTGATTCTCCTGCCTCAGCCTCCCAAGTAGCTGGGATTACAGGTGCCCACGACCACACTCACTTAATTTTTTGTATTTTTAGTAGAGACGGGGTTTCACTATGTTGGCCAGGCTGGTCTCAAACTCCTGACCTCGTGATCCATCCACCTCAGCCTCCAAAGGGCTGGGATTACAGACATGAGCCACTTCACCTGGCCAAATTTAATGGCTTTAAAGAAGGCAAGTTGTAAATTCCTTTCACGAATCTTTTCACAACTTATACAGACCATCTATGACATGGTTGGACTTTCTGACTTGTCCTAAATGTCTGTCTTTTTAAACAACCAGTTATTTTATTTTAGGACAAGAATTTACCATACAAGATCCTTTTTCATACAAAGTCTCTTTTCTTGTAACACTCTTTACCAAAAATACCTCTTTACCTTTATAACTTTTGAATTAGACAAAAGTTATTTTCTTTCTGTTAGGAAGTTATGGTTTGTTGCTGTGCAAGTCCTGTAAAATGGGAGCAGATAAAGAGGTTACCTATATATGGTAGAAGTTATCCCCCACTAAAGTGATTGCTCAGTTAGATTTCTTGTTCAGGCTTGTTTGAGTAAGTGTGGGCTATTTTTTTTTTTTTTGAGATGGAGTCTCGCTTTGTCGCCCAGGCTGGAGTGCAGTGGCGCCATCTTGGCTCACTGCAAGCTCCGCCTCCCGGGTTCACGCCATTCTCCTGCCTCAGCCTCCTGAGTAGCTGGGACTACAGGCGCCCACCACCATGTCCGGCTAATTTTTTTGTATTTTTAGTAGAGATGGGGTTTCACCGTGTTAGTCAGGATGGTCCCGATCTCCTGACCTCGTGATCTGCCCGCTTCAGCCTCCCACAGTGCTGGGATTACAGGCATGAGCCACCACGCCCAGCCAGTGTGGCCTATTTTTAAACCCCTAAGGTAGGACTGACCAGGTTAAAGTTATTGGTTAAAGATTTAGGTAGCTTTTCCATGAAACACAGGGCTATTAGAGAGAAAGATGAATTCAGACGTTGGGTAAATATTAAGCAGGCACCCATCTTGCTCCAAGTAAATGTGAATCTTTTCTTTTAGGGGGTGGGTGCCATTTGTCGCCATTACCCAATAGAATTTGGAGAGTCACTCAGAGAAGGAGGTTAGCATAGAGTAGGCAGCTCTTTTAAGGGGTGGCCTGCCCCTCCACACCTGTGGGCATTTCTCGTCAGGTGGAACGAGAAACTGAGAAAAGAAAGAGACACAGAGACAAAGTATAGAGAAAGAAAAGTGGGCCCAGGGGAACGGCACTCAGCATACGGAGGACCCACGCTGGCACTGGTCTCTGAGTTCCCTCAGTATTTATTGATCATTATCTCTACTATCTCGGAGAGGGAGATGTGGCAGGACAATAGGGTAATAGTGGGGAGAGGGTCAGCAGGAAAACATGTGAACAAATGTCTCTGTATCATAAACAAGGTAAAGAAAAATGTGCTGTGCTTTGATGCGCACATACATAAACATCTCAATGCATTAAAAAGCAGTATTGCTGCCAGCATGTCTCACCTCTAGCCCTAAGGCAGTTTTCTCCTATCTTGGTAGATGGAATATATAATCGGGCTTTACACCAAGACATTCCATTGCCCAGGGACGAGCAGGAGACGGATGCCTTCCTCTTACCTCAACTGCAAAGAGGCCTTCCTCTTTTACGAATCCTCCTCAGCACAGACCCTTTACAGGTGTCGGGCTAGGGGACGGTCAGGTCTTTTCCTTCCCATGAGGCCATATTTCAGACTATCACATGGGGAGAAACCTTGGACAATACCTGGCTTTCCTAGGCAGAGGTCCCTGCGGCCTTCCGCAGTGTTTTGTGTCCCTGGGTACTTGAGATTAGGGAGTGGTGATGACTTTTAACAAGCATGCTCTCTTCAAGCGTTTGTTTAACAAAGCACATCCTGCACAGCCCTAAATCCATTAAACCTTGGGTCCACACAGCACATGTTTCTGTGAGCACAGGGTTGGGGGTTGGGTTACAGATTAACAGCATCTCAAGGCAGCAGAGTTTTTCTTAGTACAGAACAAAATGGAGTCTCTTATGTCTACTTCTTTCTACATAGGCACAGTAACAGTCTGATCGCTCTTTCTTTTCCCCACACTCTTGAATGCAAAAGGGAAATTTGTAATTTCACTTGCCACCTCTGGAGTTTCCCTTGGCTTTCTCCTATTGAAGACAATGTCTGATTTGTTCCTAGAAGTGTTCTTAGAGAAAGGTCATATACCAGTTAAATTCTACCATTTTGCCTCTGGGCATATGTGGGCACATGCTTGAGCCCACTCACCCAACTCCCAAGGTCTTATTGGGAAGCTGATGAACACCAGTTTCAGGTGTTGCTATCTATCCAGAGACTACCTTTCCCTGGGCTGGCTCTGACCGATTATTATTTTAGAGAGACAGTTAACAACTGCCTGACCAACATCTGATGGTCTCCTGACACTCCTGGTTGGTGGAGGCCCTCTCCTGCCCCACTCATGTCTGACCAATTACCTACTGTAACAACCATAGATATGAACCAATTGAGAAATAAGACATAGGCTTTAATTACATCTAAAAAAGAGAGAGAAATAAGACAAAAGGGTCAGCATATGCAGAACTAAAGTGCACGGCTGAATTCATGGGCGTGGGACCTGTGTGAGTTGCATAGGGCCCTGCACTTGGTTTAATGCTCTGTTGTTGCCATCTTGAAATTCTTGGTAATTTTTATTTTGCACTGGATTCCACAAATTAAGTGCAGACAAAAATGTCACCTGATAAAATGTCATCTTTATTATGGATATAAGTGGTCTGGGAGAATGTGGCTTGAGTGTGAGGTTAATTTCTGATCTCCAGACTAGACCTTGATGAAGCACACCTAAAAGAAAATTTGAAACCCAACAAGTACATATGCTGCTCTCCCACTTGTCCTGGTAGAAAAGAAATAAGAGACCAGATCCTCCAAGCCAGGACCATTGATAGATCATTCTTATCCAGTGGAGGAACATGTCCCACACCAACCAGGCACCCCACCCCCCTCTCTGGTGAGGAGAAAGACATTGGGCAGAGGTCAAGAGTGATTAAGTGAGCCTGAGAAACATGGAAAGAGGTAATTCTCTTTTTTTTTTTTTTTTTTGAGACAGAGTCTCACAATATCACACAGGTTGGAGTGCAGTGGTACGATCTTGACCCACTGCAACCTCTTCTTCCTGGGTTCAAGCGATTCTCCTGCCTCAGCCTCCCGAGTAGCTGGGATTACAGGCACCCATACCATGCCCAGCTACTTTTTGTATTTTTAATAGAGACGGGGTTTCAGCATTTTGGCCAGGCTGGTCTTGAACTCCTAACCTCAAGTGATCCACCTGCCTCAGCCTCCCAAAGTGCTGAGATTACAGGTGTGAGCCACAGTGCCTGGCTGAGTCATTTCTCTTTAACAGGCATCCTTAGTCAAAGTTCTTTTGGTTACAAGTGACAAATATAAGTAAACTAGCTTAAATGGAACAGGAAGTTTTGGGAAGGTGTGCCAGATACTGTTTTCTATGTATCACCTCTCCCCTCTTTCCCTGCTGATTTTGTTCAAGGACAGGGAGGAAATTCACTGATTTCAGAGAAGCAGATGTCCTGCCAGCCCTATGAATCATAATTGGCCTAAGGTAATCATGGAAACCAAATTTTCCTTTGCCAGGCACTTACTCTTCCAACCTCCCTTGCAGGTAGTGTAGATAAGTGACACAGTTCTATCCAATGAGATAAGGAAGTCTGTGGGGCCTCTGAAAATGAGGGATTTTCCTTTAGCAAAAATTGAGCCCTTTTACTCCTGCTGCTTTCCCAGTGACTTGATGCAATGAATGGAGGACATGATATCTGGAGCCATGGCAGCTATTTTGAGACCATGAGGCAATAAGCAAAATAATGAAGAGTCAACATGCTGAGTGACCAAAAGATGGAAAGAGCCTGAGTCTTTGATGACATAGCTGAGCTGATGAAACCCTGGCTCTACCTAACTCCAGACTCTTTTTCTTTGAGATGGGATCTTGCTCTGTCGCCCAGGCTGGAGTGCAGTGGTGCAATCATGGTGCAATCACAGCTCACTGCAGCCTTGACCTCCTGGGCTCAAGTAATCCTCCTGCCTCAGCCTCCCTTGTAGATGGGACTACAGGTGCCCACCACTGTGCCTGGCTATTATTATTATTATTATTATTATTATTATTATTTTTGTAGAGCCAGGTTCTTTCTATGTTGCCTAGGCTGGTCTTGAACTCCTGGGCTCAAGTAAGCCTCCTGCTTTGGCCTCCCAAAATGCTGGGATTACAGGTGTAAGCCACTGTGCCCAGCCCAGACTTCTTAAGGAAACAACATGTGCTAGTGGTTCAAGTCACTATCATTTAGACTTTCTTACTTGTAGGCAAGTACATCTTAATTCATACAGACTGTAACACATCCATTGTGAGTCTCAAGGGACCCAAGGGCAGCTCCTCCTGAAGATCAGGAGGCAGGAACTAGAAAGCAGTAATACCCCTAAGGAATTCCTCTTTCCTCCAGCCTCATCTCTGCTTCTGGGAATCTGGATCCTTTGCACTTTCTACAGACCAGTTTTCACCAATCCAATATTCACATGGCAAAGCCCTCCCTATCTACATTTCCTGCATCCAAGAAACCAACCAACTCAGGCTGCAGCCAGCTTCTCAAGCCTAATTCTAAAGTCCACAAAAGAGAATATGCTTGACCCAGTTGTGAGTCATGTACACTCTGTCTCAGTTAATGCCATAGGGGCAAATCACACGCCCAAACATAGCTGCCTGGGGCCCACCACTGCAGGGTATGCGTCTGTGTGTAGGAAATTCTCAGAGAAAAGGCATGCATGGTCTAAAAGATAACCCTAAAATGTCTACTATATTTCATGAGGCAGAAAGGAAGGGAGATGAGTCAGGTTAGGAATGCTAGGGAGTGGGTGGGAAGGGGACATTAAGCTTGAGAAGAAGGAACAGACTCTTTTCCTTTTTTGAGGTGGAGTCTTGCTCTGTCATCCAGGCTAGAGTGCAGTGGCATGATCTTGGCTCACTGCAACCTCCACCTCCCTGTCTCAAGCGATCCTCTTGTCTCAGCCTCCCAAGTAGCTGGGATTATAGGCACATGCCACCATGCCTGACTAAATTTTGTATTTTTAGTAGAGAAGGGTTTCATCATGTTGGCCAGGCTGGTCTCGAACTCCTAACTTCAAGTGATCCACCTGCCTTGGCCTCCCAAAGTGCTGGGATTACAGGCGTAATCCTTCTTGCCCCCAGCAAGAAGGAACAGATTCTAACAGCAGGTGGAAAGCCGAGAGAGGTAACAGGTAGGTAGGAGGTAGCTGAGAAATTCCTCAGTTAAGAAGTCAAGATTCTGGAGGGTGTGGTGGCTCAAGCCTATAATCCCACCATTTGGGAGGCCAAGGTGGGCGGATTGCTTTAGTTCAGGAGTTTGAGACCAGTCTGGGCAACATAGTGAGACCCTTCTCTACAATAAATAAAATACAAAAACAGTAGCTGCCTGGCACAGTGGCTCATGCCTGAAATCCCAGCGCTTCAGGAGGCCGAGGCAGGTGGATCACCTGTCAGGAGTTTGAGACCAGCCTGGCCAACATGATGAAACCCGTGTCTACTAAAAATACAAAATTAGCTGGATGTGGTGGTGCACACCTGTAGTCCAAGCTACTCGGGAGGCTGAGACAGGAGAATCACTTGAACCTGGGAGGTGGCAGCTGCAGTGAGCCGACACTCCGCCACTGCACTCCAGCCTGGGCTAGACACAGCCAGACTACATCTCAAAAACAAAACCAAAAACAGTAGCCATAGGCTGGGCACGGTGGCTCACGCCTGTAATCCCAGCACTTTGGGAGACTGAGGTGGGTGGATCGCGTGAGCTCAGGAGCTCGAGACCAGCGTGGGCAACAGTGGAACCCCATCTCTACAAAAAATACAAAAGTTAGCCGGGTGCGGTGGCATATGCCTGTGGTCCCAGCTACTCGGGAAGCTGAGGCAGGAGGATCGCTTGAGCCCGGGAAGCGGAGGTTGCAGTGAGCTGAGATTGCACTGAAACTGCCTTTGCAAAATTATGACTGAGACAGTGAAAGAGATCTAACTTAACCGACTTTATCTTGCTTCTAACCTCCAAGTTGTCCTTGTTCATTCCTGGGCAAACTAACTTTGGGAGAAACTTAGTTTATAGTTTAAACAAAGATGGTAACAGCCTTTCCCAAAGCAGACCTCCTTCTTGCCTGGGGACTAGATTGCCTTTGTAGGAGTAACATTAGCCACAAGATTAGAAATTATGGTTTAGGCCGGGCATGGTGGCCCATGCCTGTAATCCCAGCACTTTGAGAGTCCAAGGTAAGTGGATTACCTGCAGTCAGGAGTTCAAGACCAGCCTGGCCAACATGGTGAAACCCATCTTTACTAATAATACCAAAAAAAAAAAAAAAGTTAGCCGAGAGTGGTGATGCATACCTGTAATCCCAGCTACTCGGGAGGCTGAGGCAGGAGAATCGCCTGAACCCGGGAGTCAGAGTTTGCAGTGAGCTGAGATGGCAACACTGCACTCCAGCCTGGACGACAAGACAAAACTCCATCTCAAAAAAAAAAAAAAAAAAAAAAAGGAAAAGAAAAGAAAATAAATTATGGTTTAGGAGTCATGCAGCTGAAAGCTACAAGAATCTGACCCTCCCTAAACTGCTCCTAAGATCAGTGCTTGAGATATTTTGCAGACCCTGCGCTTGATGGATCAGCTGGCACCACCCAGCTCAATAAACTGGCTCATCTCATCCTGTGGCCCCCCCCATCTAGGAACTGACTCAGCCCGAGAAGACAGCTTCCAGTCTCTATGATTTCTTCCCTGACCAATCAGCACTCCTGGCTCACTGGCTTCCCGCCCCGTCCCCTTCCGCCCCCCACCACCAAGTTATCCTTAAAAACTCTGCTCCCCCAATGCTCCGGGAGACTGATTTGAGTAATAATAAAATTCTGGTCTCCCGCACAGCCGGCTCCGCATGAATTCCTCTTTCTTTATTGCAATTCCCCTGTCTTGATTAATGGGACTCTGTCTAGTCAGCGGGCAAGGTGAACCCCTTGGACAGTTACAGCACCACTGCACTCCAGCCTTAGTGACAGAGTGAGACCCTGTCTGAAAAAGCAAAACAAACTAATAAACAAAACAGTAGCCGGGCGTGGTGGTGTGCGCCTTTGCTCCTACTTGGGAGGTTAAAGTGGGTGGATCCTCTGAGCCCGGGAGTTCTAGGCTGCCAGTGAGCCGAGATCGTGCACCTGCACTCCAGCCTGGGCAACAGAGTGAGGCCCTACCTCATTATAAAAAAAAGAAAAAAAGCTAAAGTCAATCTCCTAAGGCCTTTTCTTGAATTAGGAATGAGGAAGTGGTGAGAAGAGAAATAAGGAAGGAAAGTAGTGGCCCTAGAGAAGAAAAGTTGTCACTGAGGAAACACTGGGTAGGATTAGACCATCCCCCATTCCCTCCTCTCCCCGCCCAAAGACTGAAAATCAGGCCGTCCGGTTATTTTAGGCTGAAGTCCCAAAGAGAACTGTGTTGGTGTGTGTGTGTTCCCGGCAATCGCTGGCAACAACCTTTCTCTCTAGAAAAAGGTCACTGAAACAGATTGGGGTCGGCCTTGATCCTGGTTCCCCACGGGGGTCAGAAAACTGTACTGGAGGCCAGAACGTCGCCCTGAGGATGGCCGGGTTTCCACGGGGCCGACCCTGATAAGGATCGCAGGAGGATGGCAGGGCGGTGAGGGTGGGCACGGAGTCATTCCGAGAAGGGAGAGCGGGAGCCGGGGTCAGCGCGGGGAGAAGGGCGTGATTTCCACCCTCTTTCCCCGCTCCCTCGTGCAGGGAAGAGCCAAGGGC